>NC_000017.11:26081684-26243334 GCF_000001405.40 Homo sapiens
TCTGCAAGGGGACATGTAGACCTCTTTGAAGATTTCGTTGGAAACGGAATCATCTTCACATAAAAACTACACAGAAGCAGTCTCAGAATCTTCTTTGTGATGTTTGCATTCAAATCCCCGAGTTGAACTTTCCTTTCAAAGTTCACGTTTGAAACACTCTTTTTGCAGGATCTACAAGTGGATATTTGGACCACTCTGTGTCCTTCGTTCGAAACGGGTATATCTTCACATGACATCTAGACAGAAGCTTTCTCAGAAAATTGTTTGGGATGATTGACTTGAACTCACAGCAGCTGAGCATTCCTTGCGATGTAGCAGTTTAGAAACACACTTTCTGCAGAATCTGCAAGTGCATATTTGGACCTCTCTGAGGAATTCGTTGGAAACGGGATAATTTCAGCTGACTAAACAGAAGCATTCTCAGAACCTTCTTCGTGATGTCTGCATTCAACTCACAGTGTGGAACCTTTCTTTGATAGTTCAGGTTTGAAACACTCTTTTTGTAGAAACTGCAAGGGGATAATTGCACTTCTTTGAGGCCTACCGTAGTAAAGGAAATAACTTCCTATAGAAAGAAGACACAAGCATTCTCAGAACCCTCTTCGTGATGTTTGCATTCAACTCACAGTGCTGAACCTTTCTTTGATAGTTCAGCTTTGAAACACTCTTTTTGTAGAAACTGCAAGTGGATATTTGGTCCTCTCTGAGGAATTCGTTGGAAACGGGATAAACTGCACAGAACTAAACAGAAGCATTCTCAGAACCTTCTTCGTGATGTTTGCATTCAACTCACAGTGTTGAACCTTTCTTTGATAGTTCAGGTTTGAAACGGTCTTTCTGTAGAAACTGCAAGTAGATATTTGGACCTCTCTGAGGATTTCGTTGGAAAAGGGATAACCCGCACAGAACTAAAACAGAAGCATTCACAGAAAACTCTTGGTGACGACTGAGTTTAACTCACAGAGCTGAACATTCCTTTGGATGGAGCAGTTTCGAAACACACTATTTGTAGAATGTGCAAGTGGATATTTAGGCCTCTCTGAGGATTTCGTTGGAAACGGGATAAACCGCACAGAACTAAACAGAAGCATTCTCAGAAACTACTTTGTGATGATTGCATTCAAGTCACAGAGTTGAACATTCCCTTTGACAGAGCAGTTTGGAAACTCTCTTTGTGTAGAATCTGCAAGTGGAGATATGGACCGCTTTGAGGCCTATGGTAGTAAAGGAAATAGCTTCATATAAAAGCTAGACAGTAGCATTCTCAGAAACTTCTTTGTGATGCTTGCATTCAACTCACAGAGTTGAACTTTCCTTTCGAGAGAGAAGCTTTGAAACACTCTTTTTCCAGAATCTGCAAGTGGACATTTGGAGGGCTTTGAGGCCTGTGGTGGAAAAGGAATTAACTTCCCGTAAAAGCTAGATAGAAGCATTGTCAGAAACTTCTTTGTGATGATTGCATTCAAGTCACAGAGTTGAAGGTTCCTTTTCAAAGAGCAGTTTCCAATCACTCTTTCTGTGGAATCTGCAAGTGGATATTTGGACCTCTTTGAAGATTTCGTTGGAAACGGGAGAATCTTCACAGAAAAGCTAAACAGAAGCATTCTCAGAAACTTCTCTGTGATGTTTGTGTTCAACTCCCAGAGTTTCACGTTGCTTTTCATAGAGTAGTTCTGAAACATGCTTTTCGTAGTGTCTGCAAGTGGACATTTGGAGCGCTTTCAGGCCTGTGGTGGAAAACGAATTATGGTCACATAAAAACTGGAGAGAAGCCTTCTCAGAAACTTCTCTGTGATGATTGCATTCAACTCACAGAGTTGAACCCTCCTATGGATAGAGCAGTGTTGAAACTCTCTTTTTGTGGAATCTGCAAGTGGATATGTGGACCTCTCCGAAGATGTCTTTGGAAACGGGAATATCTTCACATAAAAACTAAACAGAAGCATTCTCAGAAACTTCTTGGTGATGTTTGCATTCAAATCCCAGAGTTGAACCTTCCTTTGATAGTTCAGGTTTGAAACACTCTTTCTGTAGGATCTGCAAGTGGCTATTTGGACCACTCTGTGGCCTTCGTTCGAAACGGGTATATCTTCGCATAAAATCTAGACAGAAGCATTCTCAGAAAATACTTTGTGATGATTGAGTTTAAATCACAGAGCTGACCATTCCTTTGGATGGAGCAGGTTTGAGACACACTTTTTGTAGAATCTACAAGTGGATATTTGGACCTCTCTGAGGATTTCGTTGGAAACGGGATAACTGCACCTAACTAAACGGAAGCATTCTCAGAAACTGCTTTGTGATGATTGCATTCACCTCACAGAGTTGAACATTCCTATTGATAGAGCAGTTTGGAAACACTCTTGTTGTGGAATGTGCAAGTGGAGATTTGGAGCGCTTTGAGGCCTATGGTAGTAAAGGGAATAGCTTCATAGAAAAACTAGACAGATGCATTCTCAGGAACTTTTTGGTGATGTTTGTATTCAACTCCCAGAGTTGAACTTTCCTTTGGAAAGAGCAGCTATGAAACACTCTTTTTCTAGAATCTGCAAGTGGACGTTTGGAGGGCTTTGTGGTTTGTGGTGGAAAAGGAAATATCTTCACCTAAATACTAGATAGAGGCATTCTCAGAAGCTTCTCTGTGATGACTGCATTCAACTCACGGAATTGAACACTCCTTTTGAGAGCGCAGTTTTGAAACTCTCTTTCTGTGGCATCTGCAAGCGGACATGTAGACCTCTTTGAAGATTTCGTTGGAAACGGAATCATCTTCACATAAAAACTATACAGAAGCAGTCTCAGAATCTTCTTTGTGATGTTTGCATTCAAATCCCAGAGTTGAACTTTCCTTTCAAAGTTCACGTTTGAAACACTCTTTTTGCAGGATCTACAAGTGGATATTTGGACCAATCTGTGTCCTTCGTTCGAAACGGGTATATCTTCACATGACATCTAGACAGAAGCTTTCTCAGAAAATTCTTTGGGATGATTGAGTGGAACTCACAGAGCTGAACATTCCTTGCGATGTAGCAGTTTAGAAACACACTTTCTGCAGAATCTGCAAGTGCATATTTGGACCTCTCTGAGGAATTCGTTGGAAACGGGATAATTTCAGCTGACTAAACAGAAGCATTCTCAGAACCTTCTTCGTGATGTCTGCATTCAACTCACAGTGTGGAACCTTTCTTTGATAGTTCAGGTTTGAATCACTCTTTTTGTAGAAACTGCAAGGGGATAATTGCACTTCTTTGAGGCCTACCGTAGTAAAGGAAATAACTTCCTATAAAAAGAAGACAGAAGCATTCTCAGAACCCTCTTCGTGATGTTTGCATTCAACTCACGGTGCTGAATCTTTCTTTGATAGTTCAGCTTTGAAACACTCTTTTTGTAGAAACTGCAAGTGGATATTTGGTCCTCTCTGAGGATTTCGTTGGAAACGGGATAAACCGCACAGAACTAAACAGAAGCATTCTCAGAACCTTCTTCGTGATGTTTGCATTCAACTCACAGTGTTGAACCTTTCTTTGATAGTTCAGGTTTGAAACGGTCTTTCTGTAGAAACTGCAAGTAGATATTTGGACCTCTCTGAGGATTTCGTTGGAAACGGGATAAACCGCACAGAACTACAACAGAAGCATTCACAGAAAACTCTTGGTGACGACTGAGTTTAACTCACAGAGCTGAACATTCCTTTGGATGGAGCAGTTTCGAAACACACTATTTGTAGAATCTGCAAGTGGATATTTGGGCCTCTCTGAGGATTTCGTTGGAAACGGGATAAACCGCACAGAAGTAAACAGAAGCATTCTCAGAAACTACTTTGTGATGATTGCATTCAAGTCACAGAGTTGAACATTCCCTTTGACAGAGCAGTTTGGAAACTCTCTTTGTGTAGAATCTGCAAGTGGAGATATGGACCGCTTTGAGGCCTATGGTAGTAAAGGAAATAGCTTCATATAAAAGCTAGACAGTAGCATTCTCAGAAACTTCTTTGTGATGCTTGCATTCAACTCACAGAGTTGAACTTTCCTTTCGAGAGAGAAGCTTTGAAACACTCTTTTTCCAGAATCTGCAAGTGGACATTTGGAGGGCTTTGAGGCCTGTGGTGGAAAAGGAATTATCTTCCCGTAAAAGCTAGATAGAAGCATTGTCAGAAACTTCTTTGTGATGATTGCATTCAACTCACAGAGTTGAAGGTTCCTTTTCAAACAGCAGTTTCCAATCACTCTTTCTGTGGAATCTGCAAGTGGATATTTGGGCCTCTCTGAGGATTTCGTTGGAAACGGGATAAAACGCACAGAACTAAAACAGAAGCATTCTCAGAAACTTCTCTGTGATGTTTGTGTTCAACTCCCAGAGTTTCACATTGCTTCTCATAGAGTAGTTCTGAAACATGCTTTTCATACTGTCTGCAAGTGGACATTTGGAGCGCTTTCAGGCCTGTGGTGGAAAACGAATTATGGTCACATAAAAACTGGAGAGAAGCCTTCTCAGAAACTTCTCTGTGATGATTGCATTCAACTCACAGAGTTGAACCCTCCTATGGATAGAGCAGTGTTGAAACTCTCTTTTTGTGGAACCTGCAAGTGGATATGTGGACCTCTCCGAAGATGTCTTTGGAAACGGGAATATCTTCACATAAAAACTAAACAGAAGCATTCTCAGAAACTTCTTGGTGATGTTTGCATTCAAATCCCAGAGTTGAACCTTCCTTTGATAGTTCAGGTTTGAAACACTCTTTCTGTAGGATCTGCAAGTGGCTATTTGGACCACTCTGTGGCCTTCGTTCGAAACGGGTATATCTTCGCATAAAATCTAGACAGAAGCATTCTCAGAAAATACTTTGTGATGATTGAGTTTAACTCACAGAGCTGAACATTCCTTTGGATGGAGCAGGTTTGAGACACACTTTTTGTAAAATCTACAAGTGGATATTTGGACCTCTCTGAGGATTTCGTTGGAAACGGGATAACTGCACCTAACTAAACGGAAGCATTCTCAGAAACTGCTTTGTGATGATTGCATTCACCTCACAGAGTTGAACATTCCTATTGATAGAGCAGTTTGGAAACACTCTTGTTGTGGAATGTGCAAGTGGAGATTTGGAGCGCTTTGAGGCCTATGGTAGTAAAGGGAATAGCTTCATAGAAAAACTAGACAGATGCATTCTCAGGAACTTTTTGGTGATGTTTGTATTCAACTCCCAGAGTTGAACTTTCCTTTGGAAAGAGCAGCTATGAAACACTCTTTTTCTAGAATCTGCAAGTGGACGTTTGGAGGGCTTTGTGGTTTGTGGTGGAAAAGGAAATATCTTCACCTAAATACTAGATAGAAGCATTCTCAGAAGCTTCTCTGTGATGACTGCATTCAACTCACGGAGTTGAACACTCCTTTTGAGAGCGCAGTTTTGAAACTCTCTTTCTGTGGCATCTGCAAGAGGACATGTAGACCTCTTTGAAGATTTCGTTGGAAACGGAATCATCTTCACATAAAAACTATACAGAAGCAGTCTCAGAATCTTCTTTGTGATGTTTGCATTCAAATCCCAGAGTTGAACTTTCCTTTCAAAGTTCACGTTTGAAACACTCTTTTTGCAGGATCTTCAAGTGGATATTTGGACCACTCTGTGTCCTTCGTTCGAAACGGGTATATCTTCACATGACATCTAGACAGAAGCTTTCTCAGAAAATTCTTTGGGATGATTGAGTTGAACTCACAGAGCTGAGCATTCCTTGCGATGTAGCAGTTTAGAAACACACTTTCTGCAGAATCTGCAAGTGCATATTTGGACCTCTGTGAGGAATTCGTTGGAAACGGGATAATTTCAGCTGACTAAACAGAAGCATTCTCAGAACCTTCTTCGTGATGTCTGCATTCAACTCACAGTGTGGAACCTTTCTTTGATAGTTCAGGTTTGAAACACTCTTTTTGTAGAAACTGCAAGGGGATAATTGCACTTCTTTGAGGCCTACCGTAGTAAAGGAAATAACTTCCTATAGAAAGAAGACAGAAGCATTCTCAGAACCCTCTTCGTGATGTTTGCATTCAACTCACAGTGCTGAACCTTTCTTTGATAGTTCAGCTTTGAAACACTCTTCTTGTAGAAACTGCAAGTGGATATTTGGTCCTCTCTGAGGATTTCGTTGGAAACGGGATAAACCGCACAGAACTAAACAGAAGAATTCTCAGAGCCCTCTTCGTGATGTTTGCATTCAACTCACAGTGCTGAACCTTTCTTTGATAGTGCAGCTTTGAAACACTCTTTTTGTAGAAACTGCAAGTGGATGTTTGGTCCTCTCTGAGGATTTCGTTGGAAACGGCATAAACCGCACAGAACTAAAACAGAAGCATTCACAGAAAACTCTTGGTGACGACTGAGTTTAACTCACAGAGCTGAACAATCCTTTGGATGGAGCAGTTTCGAAACACACTATTTGTAGAATCTGCAAGTGGATATTTGGGCCTCTCTGAGGATTTCGTTGGAAACGGGATAAAACGCACAGAACTAAAACAGAAGCATTCTCAGAAACTACTTTGTGATGATTGCATTCAAGCCACAGAGCTGAACATTCCCTTTGACAGAGCAGTTTGGAAACTCTCTTTGTGTAGAATCTGCAAGTGGAGATATGGTATGCTTTGAGGACTATGGTAGTAAAGGAAATAGCTTCATATAAAAGCTAGACAGTAGCATCCTCAGAAACTTCTTTGTGATGCTTGCATTCAACTCACAGAGTTGAACTTTCCTTTCGAGAGAGAAGCTTTGAAACACTCTTTTTCCAGAATCTGCAAGTGGACATTTGGAGGGCTTTGAGGCCTGTGGTGGAAAAGGAATTATCTTCCCATAAAAGCTAGATAGAAGCATTGTCAGAAACTTCTTTGTGATGATTGCATTCAACTCACAGAGTTGAAGGTTCCTTTTCAAACAGCAGTTTCCAATCACTCTTTCTGTGGAATCTGCAAGTGGATATTTGGGCCTCTCTGAGGATTTCGTTGGAAACGGGATAAAACGCACAGAACTAAAACAGAAGCATTCTCAGAAACTTCTCTGTGATGTTTGTGTTCAACTCCCAGAGTTTCACATTGCTTTTCATAGAGTAGTTCTGAAACATGCTTTCCGTTTTGTCTGCAAGTGGACATTTGGAGAGCTTTCAGGCCAGTGGTGGAAAACGAATTATGGTCACATAAAAACTGGAGAGAAGCCTTCTCAGAAACTTCTCTGTGATGATTGCATTCAACTCACAGAGTTGAACCCTCCTATGGATAGAGCAGTGTTGAAACTCTCTTTTTGTGGAATCTGCAAGTGGATATGTGGACCTCTCCGAAGATGTCTTTGGAAACGGGAATATCTTCACATAAAAACTAAACAGAAGCATTCTCAGAAACTTCTTGGTGATGTTTGCATTCAAATCCCAGAGTTGAACCTTCCTTTGATAGTTCAGGTTTGAAACACTCTTTTTGTAGGATCTGCAAGTGGATATTTGGACCACTCTGTGGCCTTCGTTCGAAACGGGTATATCTTCGCATAAAATCTAGACAGAAGCATTCTCAGAAAATACTTTGTGATGATTGAGTTTAACTCACAGAGCTGAACATTCCTTTGGATGGAGCAGGTTTGAGACACACTTTTTGTAGAATCTACAAGTGGATATTTGGACCTCTCTGAGGATTTCGTTGGAAACGCGATAACTGCACCTAACTAAACGGAAGCATTCTCAGAAACTGCTTTGTGATGATTGCATTCACCTCACAGAGTTGAACATTCCTATTGATAGAGCAGTTTGGAAACACTCTTGTTGTGGAATGTGCAAGTGGAGATTTGGAGCGCTTTGAGGCCTATGGTAGTAAAGGGAATAGCTTCATAGAAAAACTAGACAGATGCATTCTCAGGAACTTTTTGGTGATGTTTGTATTCAACTCCCAGAGTTGAACTTTCCTTTGGAAAGAGCAGCTATGAAACACTCTTTTTCTAGAATCTGCAAGTGGACGTTTGGAGGGCTTTGTGGTTTGTGGTGGAAAAGGAAATATCTTCACCTAAATACTAGATAGAAGCATTCTCAGAAGCTTCTCTGTGATGACTGCATTCAACTCACGGAGTTGAACACTCCTTTTGAGAGTGCAGTTTTGAAACTCTCTTTCTGTGGGATCTGCAAGGGGACATGTAGACCTCTCTGAAGATTTCGTTGGAAACGGAATCATCTTCACATAAAAACTATACAGAAGCAGTCTCAGAATCTTCTTTGTGATGTTTGCATTCAAATCCCAGAGTTGAACTTTCCTTTCAAAGTTCACGTTTGAAACACTCTTTTTGCAGGATCTACAAGTGGATATTTGGACCACTCTGTGTCCTTCGTTCGAAACGGGTATATCTTCACATGACATCTAGACAGAAGCTTTCTCAGAAAATTCTTTGCGATGATTGAGTTGAACTCACAGAGCTGAACATTCCTTGCGATGTAGCAGTTTAGAAACACACTTTCTGCAGAATCTGCAAGTGCATATTTGGACCTCTCTGAGGAATTCGTTGGAAACGGGATAATTTCAGCTGACTAAACAGAAGCATTCTCAGAACCTTCTTCGTGATGTCTGCATTCAACTCACAGTGTGGAACCTTTCTTTGATAGTTCAGGTTTGAAACACTCTTTTTGTAGAAACTGCAAGGGGATAATTGCACTTCTTTGAGGCCTACCGTAGTAAAGGAAATAACTTCCTATAGAAAGAAGACAGAAGCATTCTCAGAACCCTCTTCGTGATGTTTGCATTCAACTCACAGTGCTGAACCTTTCTTTGATAGTTCAGCTTTGAAACACTCTTTTTGTAGAAACTGCAAGTGGATACTTGTTCCTCTATGAGGATTTCGTTGGAAACGGGATAAACCTCACAGAACTAAACAGAAGCATTCTCAGAACCTTCTTCGTGATGTTTGCATTCAACTCACGGTGTTGAACCTTTCTTTGATAGTTCAGGTTTGAAACGGTCTTTCTGTAGAAACTGCAAGTAGATATTTGGACCTCTCTGAGGATTTCGTTGGAAACGGGGTAACCCGCACAGAACTAAAACAGAAGCATTCACAGAAAACTCTTGGTGACGACTGAGTTTAACTCACAGAGCTGAACATTCCTTTGGATGGAGCAGTTTTGAAACACACTATTTGTAGAATGTGCAAGTGGATATTTGGGCCTCTCTGAGGATTTCGTTGGAAACGGGATAAACGGCACAGAACTAAACAGAACCATTGTCAGAAACTACTTTGTGATGATTGCATTCAAGTCACAGAGTTCAACATTCCCTTTGACAGAGCAGTTTGGAAACTCTCTTTGTGTAGAATCTGCAAGTGGAGATATGGACCGCTTTCAGGCCTATGGTAGTAAAGGAAATAGCTTCATATAAAAGCTAGACAGTAGCATTCTCAGAAACTTCTTTGTGATGCTTGCATTCAACTCACAGAGTTGAACTATCCTTTCGAGAGAGAAGCTTTGAAATACTCTTTTTCCAGAATCTGCAAGTGGACATTTGGAGGGCTTTGAGGCCTGTGGTGGAAAAGGAATTATCTTCCTGTAAAAGCTAGATAGAAGCATTGTCAGAAACTTCTTTGTGATGATTGCATTCAACTCACAGAGTTGAAGGTTCCTTTTCAAAGAGCAGTTTCCAATCACTCTTTCTGTGGAATCTGCAAGTGGATATTTGGACCTCTTTGAAGATTTCGTTGGAAACGGGAGAATCTTCACAGAAAAGCTAAACAGAAGCATTCTCAGAAACTTCTCTGTGATGTTTGTGTTCAACTTCCAGAGTTTCACATTGCTTTTCATAGAGTAGTTCTGAAACATGCTTTTCGTAGTGTCTGCAAGTGGACATTTGGAGCGCTTTCAGGCCTGTGGTGGAAAACGAATTATGGTCACATAAAAACTGGAGAGAAGCCTTCTCAGAAACTTCTCTGTGATGATTGCATTCAACTCACAGAGTTGAACCCTCCTATGGATAGAGCAGTGTTGAAACTCTCTTTTTGTGGAATCTGCAAGTGGATATGTGGACCTCTCCGAAGATGTCTTTGGAAACGGGAATATCTTCACATAAAAACTAAACAGAAGCATTCTCAGAAACTTCTTGGTGATGTTTGCATTCAAATCCCAGAGTTGAACCTTCCTTTGATAGTTCAGGTTTGAAACACTCTTTTTGTAGGATCTGCAAGTGGATATTTGGACCACACTGTGGCCTTTGTTCGAAACGGGTACATCTTCGCATAAAATCTAGACAGAAGCATTCTCAGAAAATACTTTGTGATGATTGAGTTTAAATCACAGAGCTGACCATTCCTTTGGATGGAGCAGGTTTGAGACACACTTTTTGTAGAATCTACAAGTGGATATTTGGACCTCTCTGAGGATTTCGTTGGAAACGGGATAACTGCACCTAACTAAACGGAAGCATTCTCAGAAACTGCTTTGTGATGATTGCATTCACCTCACAGAGTTGAACATTCCTATTGATAGAGGAGTTTGGAAACACTCCTGTTGTGGAATGTGCAAGTGGAGATTTGGAGCGCTTTGAGGCCTATGGTAGTAAAGGGAATAACTTCATAGAAAAACTAGACAGATGCATTCTCAGGAACTTTTTGGTGATGTTTGTATTCAACTCCCAGAGTTGAACTTTCCTTTGGAAAGAGCAGCTATGAAACACTCTTTTTCTAGAATCTGCAAGTGGACGTTTGGAGGGCTTTGTGGTTTGTGGTGGAAAAGGAAATATCTTCACCTAAATACTACATAGAAGCATTCTCAGAAGCTTCTCTGTGATGACTGCATTCAACTCACGGAGTTGAACACTCCTTTTGAGAGCGCAGTTTTGAAACTCTCTTTCTGTGGCATCTGCAAGGGGACATGTAGACCTCTCTGAAGATTTCGCTGGAAACGGAATCATCTTCACATAAAAACTATACAGAAGCAGTCTCAGAATCTTCTTTGTGATGTTTGCATTCAAATCCCAGAGTTGAACTTTCCTTTCAAAGTTCACGTTTGAAACACTCTTTTTGCAGGATCTACAAGTGGATATTTGGACCACTCTGTGTCCTTCGTTCGAAACGGGTATATCTTCACATGACATCTAGACAGAAGCTTTCTCAGAAAATTCTTTGGGATGATTGAGTTGAACTCACAGAGCTGAACATTCCTTGCGATGTAGCAGTTTAGAAACACAGTTTCTGCAGAATCTGCAAGTGCATATTTGGACCTCTCTGAGGAATTCGTTGGAAACGGGATAATTTCAGCTGACTAAACAGAAGCATTCTCAGAACCTTCTTCGTGATGTCTGCATTCAACTCACAGTGTGGAACCTTTCTTTGATAGTTCAGGTTTGAAACACTCTTTTTGTAGAAACTGCAAGGGGATAACTGCACTTGTTTGAGGCCTATCGTAGTAAAGGAAATAACTTCCTATAAAAAGAAGACAGAAGCATTCTCAGAACCCTCTTCGTGATGTTTGCATTCAACTCACAGTGCTGAACCTTTCTTTGATAGTTCAGCTTTGAAACACTCTTCTTGTAGAAACTGCAAGTGGATATTTGGTCCTCTCTGAGGATTTCGTTGGAAACGGGATAAACCGCACAGAACTAAACAGAAGAATTCTCAGAGCCCTCTTCGTGATGTTTGCATTCAACTCACAGTGCTGAACCTTTCTTTGATAGTGCAGCTTTGAAACACTCTTTTTGTAGAAACTGCAAGTGGATGTTTGGTCCTCTCTGAGGATTTCGTTGGAAACGGGATAAACCGCACAGAACTAAAACAGAAGCATTGTCAGAAACTTCTTTGTGATGATTGCATTCAACTCACAGAGTTGAAGGTTCCTTTTCAAACAGCAGTTTCCAATCACTCTTTCTGTGGAATCTGCAAGTGGATATTTGGGCCTCTCTGAGGATTTCGTTGGAAACGGGATAAAACGCACAGAACTAAAACAGAAGCATTCTCAGAAACTTCTCTGTGATGTTTGTGTTCAACTCCCAGAGTTTCACGTTGCTTTTCATAGAGTAGTTCTGAAACATGCTTTTCGTAGTGTCTGCAAGTGGACATTTGGAGCGCTTTCAGGCCTGTGGTGGAAAACGAATTATGGTCACATAAAAACTGGAGAGAAGCCTTCTCAGAAACTTCTCTGTGATGATTGCATTCAACTCACAGAGTTGAACCCTCCTATGGATAGAGCAGTGTTGAAACTCTCTTTTTGTGGAATCTGCAAGTGGATATGTGGACCTCTCCGAAGATGTCTTTGGAAACGGGAATATCTTCACATAAAAACTAAACAGAAGCATTCTCAGAAACTTCTTGGTGATGTTTGCATTCAAATCCCAGAGTTGAACCTTCCTGTGATAGTTCAGGTTTGAAACACTCTTTTTGTAGGATCTGCAAGTGGATATTTGGACCACTCTGTGGCCTTCGTTCGAAACGGGTACATCTTCACATAAAATCTAGACAGAAGCATTCTCAGAAAATACTTTGTGATGATTGAGTTTAAATCACAGAGCTGACCATTCCTTTGGATGGAGCAGGTTTGAGACACACTTTTTGTAGAATCTACAAGTGGATATTTGGACCTCTCTGAGGATTTCGTTGGAAACGGGATAACTGCACCTAACTAAACGGAAGCATTCTCAGAAACTGCTTTGTGATGATTGCATTCACCTCACAGAGTTGAACATTCCTATTGATAGAGCAGTTTGGAAACACTCTTGTTGTGGAATGTGCAAGTGGAGATTTGGAGCGCTTTGAGGCCTGTGGTAGTAAAGGGAATAGCTTCATAGAAAAACTAGACAGATGCATTCTAAGGAACTTTTTGGTGATGTTTGTATTCAACTCCCAGAGTTGAACTTTCCTTTGGAAAGAGCAGCTATGAAACACTCTTTTTCTAGAATCTGCAAGTGGACGTTTGGAGGGCTTTGTGGTTTGTGGTGGAAAAGGAAATATCTTCACCTAAATACTAGATAGAAGCATTCTCAGAAGCTTCTCTGAGATGACTGCATTCAACTCACGGAGTTGAACACTCCTTTTGAGAGCGCAGTTTTGAAACTCTCCTTCTGTGGCATCTGCAAGGGGACATGTAGACCTCTTTGAAGATTTCGTTGGAAACGGAATCATCTTCACATAAAATCTATACAGAAGCAGTCTCAGAATCTTCTTTGTGATGTTTGCATTCAAATCCCAGAATTGAACTTTCCTTTCAAAGTTCACGTTTGAAACACTCTTTTTGCAGGATCTACAAGTGGATATTTGGACCACTCTGTGTCCTTCGTTCGAAACGGGTATATCTTCACATGACATCTAGACAGAAGCTTTCTCAGAAAATTCTTTGGGATGATTGAGTTGAACTCACAGAGCTGAACATTCCTTGCGATGGAGCAGTTTAGAAACACACTTTCTGCAGAATCTGCAAGTGCATATTTGGACCTCTCTGAGGAATTCGTTGGAAACGGGATAATTTCAGCTGACTAAACAGAAGCATTCTCAGAACCTTCTTCGTGATGTCTGCATTCAACTCACAGTGTGGAACCTTTCTTTGATAGTTCAGGTTTGAAACACTCTTTTTGTAGAAACTGCAAGGGGATAATTGCACTTCTTTGAGGCCTATCGTAGTAAAGGAAATAACTTCCTATAAAAAGAAGACAGAAGCATTCTCAGAACCCTCTTCGTGATGTTTGCATTCAACTCACAGTGCTGAACCTTTCTTTGATAGTTCAGCTTTGAAACACTCTTCTTGTAGAAACTGCAAGTGGATATTTGGTCCTCTCTGAGGATTTCGTTGGAAACGGGATAAACCGCACAGAACTAAACAGAAGCATTCTCAGAACCTTCTTCGTGATGTTTGCATTCAACTCACAGTGTTGAACCTTTCTTTGATAGTTCAGGTTTGAAACGGTCTTTCTGTAGAAACTGCAAGTAGATATTTGGACCTCTCTGAGGATTTCGTTGGAAACGGGATAACCCGCACAGAACTAAAACAGAAGCATTCACAGAAAACTCTTGGTGACGACTGAGTTTAACTCACAGAGCTGAACATTCCTTTGGATGGAGCAGTTTCGAAACACACTATTTGTAGAATGTGCAAGTGGATATTTAGGCCTCTCTGAGGATTTCGTTGGAAACGGGATAAACCGCACAGAACTAAACAGAAGCATTCTCAGAAACTACTTTGTGATGATTGCATTCAAGTCACAGAGTTGAACATTCCCTTTGACAGAGCAGTTTGGAAACTCTCTTTGTGTAGAATCTGCAAGTGGAGATATGGACCGCTTTGAGGCCTATGGTAGTAAAGGAAATAGCTTCATATAAAAGCTAGACAGTAGCATTCTCAGAAACTTCTTTGTGATGCTTGCATTCAACTCACAGAGTTGAACTTTCCCTTCGAGAGAGAAGCTTTGAAACACTCTTTTTCCAGAATCTGCAAGTGGACATTTGGAGGGCTTTGAGGCCTGTGGTGGAAAAGGAATTATCTTCCCGTAAAAGCTAGATAGAAGCATTGTCAGAAACTTCTTTGTGATGATTGCATTCAAGTCACAGAGTTGAAGGTTCCTTTTCAAAGAGCAGTTTCCAATCACTCTTTCTGTGGAATCTGCAAGTGGATATTTGGACCTCTTTGAAGATTTCGTTGGAAACGGGAGAATCTTCACAGAAAAGCTAAACAGAAGCATTCTCAGAAACTTCTCTGTGATGTTTGTGTTCAACTCCCAGAGTTTCACGTTGCTTTTCATAGAGTAGTTCTGAAACATGCTTTTCGTAGTGTCTGCAAGTGGACATTTGGAGCGCTTTCAGGCCTGTGGTGGAAAACGAATTATGGTCACATAAAAACTGGAGAGAAGCCTTCTCAGAAACTTCTCTGTGATGATTGCATTCAACTCACAGAGTTGAACCCTCCTATGGATAGAGCAGTGTTGAAACTCTCTTTTTGTGGAATCTGCAAGCGGATATGTGGACCTCTCCGAAGATGTCTTTGGAAACGGGAATATCTTCACATAAAAACTAAACAGAAGCATTCTCAGAAACTTCTTGGTGATGTTTGCATTCAAATCCCAGAGTTGAACCTTCCTTTGATAGTTCAGGTTTGAAACACTCTTTTTGTAGGATCTGCAAGTGGATATTTGGACCACTCTGTGGCCTTCGTTCGAAACGGGTACATCTTCGCAAAAAATCTAGACAGAAGCATTCTCAGAAAATACTTTGTGATGATTGAGTTGAACTCACAGAGCTGAACATTCCTTTGGATGGAGCAGGTTTGAGACACACTTTTTGTAGAATCTACAAGTGGATATTTGGACCTCTCTGAGGATTTCGTTGGAAACGGGATAACTGCACCTAACTAAACGGAAGCATTCTCAGAAACTGCTTTGTGATGATTGCATTCACCTCACAGAGTTGAACATTCCTATTGATAGAGCAGTTTGGAAACACTCTTGTTGTGGAATGTGCAAGTGGAGATTTGGAGCGCTTTGAGGCCTATGGTAGTAAAGGGAATAGCTTCATAGAAAAACTAGACAGATGCATTCTCAGGAACTTTTTGGTGATGTTTGTATTCAACTCCCAGAGTTGAACTTTCCTTTGGAAAGAGCAGCTATGAAACACTCTTTTTCTAGAATCTGCAAGTGGACGTTTGGAGGGCTTTGTGGTTTGTGGTGGAAAAGGAAATATCTTCACCTAAATACTAGATAGAAGCATTCTCAGAAGCTTCTCTGTGATGACTGCATTCAACTCACGGAGTTGAACACTCCTTTTGAGAGCGCAGTTTTGAAACTCTCTTTCTGTGGCATCTGCAAGGGGACATGTAGACCTCTTTGAAGATTTCGTTGGAAACGGAATCATCTTCACATAAAAACTATACAGAAGCAGTCTCAGAATCTTCTTTGTGATGTTTGCATTCAAATCCCAGAGTTGAACTTTCCTTTCCAAGTTCACGTTTGAAACACTCTTTTTGCAGGATCTACAAGTGGATATTTGGACCACTCTGTGTCCTTCGTTCGAAACGGGTATATCTTCACATGACATCTAGACAGAAGCTTTCTCAGAAAATTCTTTGGGATGATTGAGTGGAACTCACAGAGCTGAACATTCCTTGCGATGTAGCAGTTTAGAAACACACTTTCTGCAGAATCTGCAAGTGCATATTTGGACCTCTCTGAGGAATTCGTTGGAAACGGGATAATTTCAGCTGACTAAACAGAAGCATTCTCAGAACCTTCTTCGTGATGTCTGCATTCAACTCACAGTGTGGAACCTTTCTTTGATAGTTCAGGTTTGAAACACTCTTTTTGTAGAAACTGCAAGGGGATAATGGCACTTCTTTGAGGCCTACCGTAGTAAAGGAAATAACTTCCTATAGAAAGAAGACAGAAGAATTCTCAGAGCCCTCTTCGTGATGTTTGCATTCAACTCACAGTGCTGAACCTTTCTTTGATAGTGCAGCTTTGAAACACTCTTTTTGTAGAAACTGCAAGTGGATGTTTGGTCCTCTCTGAGGATTTCGTTGGAAACGGGATAAACCGCACAGAACTAAAACAGAAGCATTCTCAGAACCCTCTTCGTGATGTCTGCATTCAACTCACAGTGCTGAACCTTTCTTTGATAGTTCAGCTTTGAAACACTCTTTTTGTAGAAACTGCAAATGGATATTTGGTCCTCTCTGAGGATTTCGTTGGAAAAGGGATAAACTGCACAGAACTAAACAGAAGCATTCACAGAAAACTCTTGGTGACGACTGAGTTTAACTCACAGAGCTGAACATTCCTTTGGATGGAGCAGTTTCAAAACACACTATTTGTAGAATGTGCAAGTGGATATGTGGGCCTCTCTGAGGATTTCGTTGGAAACGGGATAAACCGCACAGAACTAAAACAGAAGCATTCTCAGAAACTACTTTGTTATGATTGCATTCAAGTCACAGAGTTGAACATTCCCTTTGACAGAGCAGTTTGGAAACTCTCTTTGTGTAGAATCTGCAAGTGGAGATATGGACCGCTTTGAGGCCTATGGTAGTAAAGGAAATAGCTTCATATAAAAGCTAGACAGTAGCATTCTCAGAAACTTCTTTGTGATGCTTGCATTCAACTCACAGAGTTGAACTATCCTTTCGAGAGAGAAGCTTTGAAATACTCTTTTTCCAGAATCTGCAAGTGGACATTTGGAGGGCTTTGAGGCCTGTGGTGGAAAAGGAATTATCTTCCTGTAAAAGCTAGATAGAAGCATTGTCAGAAACTTCTTTGTGATGATTGCATTCAACTCACAGAGTTGAAGGTTCCTTTTCAAAGAGCAGTTTCCAATCACTCTTTCTGTGGAATCTGCAAGTGGATATTTGGACCTCTTTGAAGATTTCGTTGGAAACGGGAGAATCTTCACAGAAAAGCTAAACAGAAGCATTCTCAGAAACTTCTCTGTGATGTTTGTGTTCAACTTCCAGAGTTTCACATTGCTTTTCATAGAGTAGTTCTGAAACATGCTTTTCGTAGTGTCTGCAAGTGGACATTTGGAGCGCTTTCAGGCCTGTGGTGGAAAACGAATTATGGTCACATAAAAACTGGAGAGAAGCCTTCTCAGAAACTTCTCTGTGATGATTGCATTCAACTCACAGAGTTGAACCCTCCTATGGATAGAGCAGTGTTGAAACTCTCTTTTTGTGGAATCTGCAAGTGGATACGTGGACCTCTCCGAAGATGTCTTTGGAAACGGGAATATCTTCACATAAAAACTAAACAGAAGCATTCTCAGAAACATCTTGGTGATGTTTGCATTCAAATCCCAGAGTTGAACCTTCCTTTGATAGTTCAGGTTTGAAACACTCTTTTTGTAGGATCTGCAAGTGGATATTTGGACCACTCTGTGGCCTTCGTTCGAAACAGGGTACATCTTCGCATAAAATCTAGACAGAAGCATTCTCAGAAAATACTTTGTGATGATTGAGTTTAACTCACAGAGCTGAACATTCCTTTGGATGGAGCAGGTTTGAGACACACTTTTTGTAGAATCTAGAAGTGGATATTTGGACCTCTCTGAGGATTTCGTTGGAAACGGGATAACTGCACCTAACTAAACGGAAGCATTCTCAGAAACTGCTTTGTGATGATTGCATTCACCTCACAGAGTTGAACATTCCTATTGATAGAGCAGTTTGGAAACACTCTTGTTGTGGAATGTGCAAGTGGAGATTTGGAGCGCTTTGAGGTCTATGGTAGTAAAGGGAATAGCTTCATAGAAAAACTAGACAGATGCATTCTCAGGAACTTTTTGGTGATGTTTGTATTCAACTCCCAGAGTTGAACTTTCCTTTGGAAAGAGCAGCTATGAAACACTCTTTTTCTAGAATCTGCAAGTGGACGTTTGGAGGGCTTTGTGGTTTGTGGTGGAAAAGGAAATATCTTCACCTAAATACTAGGATAGAAGCATTCTCAGAAGCTTCTCTGTGATGACTGCATTCAACTCACAGAGTTGAACACTCCTTTTGAGAGCGCAGTTTTGAAACTCTCTTTCTGTGGCATCTGCAAGGGGACATGTAGACCTCTTGGAAGATTTCGTTGGAAACGGAATCATCTTCACATAAAAACTATACAGAAGCAGTCTCAGAATCTTCTTTGTGATGTTTGCATTCAAATCCCAGAGTTGAACTTTCCTTTCAAAGTTCACGTTTGAAACACTCTTTTTGCAGGATCTACAAGTGGATATTTGGACCACTCTGTGTCCTTCGTTCGAAACGGGTATATCTTCACACGACATCTAGACAGAAGCTTTCTCAGAAAATTCTTTGGGATGATTGAGTGGAACTCACAGAGCTGAACATTCCTTGCGATGTAGCAGTTTAGAAACACACTTTCTGCAGAATCTGCAAGTGCATATTTGGACCTCTCTGAGGAATTCGTTGGAAACGGGATAATTTCAGCTGACTAAACAGAAGCATTCTCAGAACCTTCTTCTTGATGTCTGCATTCAACTCACAGTGTGGAAACTTTCTTTGATAGTTCAGGTTTGAAACACTCTTTTTGTAGAAACTTCAAGGGGATAATTGCACTTCTTTGAGGCCTACCGTAGTAAAGGAAATAACTTCCTATAAAAAGAAGACAGAAGAATTCTCAGAGCCCTCTTCGTGATGTTTGCATTCAACTCACAGTGCTGAACCTTTCTTTGATAGTGCAGCTTTGAAACACTCTTTTTGTAGAAACTGCAAGTGGATATTTGGTCCTCTCTGAGGATTTCGTTGGAAACGGGATAAACCGCACAGAACTAAACAGAAGCATTCTCAGAACCTTCTTCGTGATGTTTGCATTCAACTCACAGTGTTGAACCTTTCTTTGATAGTTCAGGTTTCAAACGGTCTTTCTGTAGAAACTGCAAGTAGATATTTGGACCTCTCTGAGGATTTCGTTGGAAACGGGATAACCCGCACAGAACTAAAACAGAAGCATTCACAGAAAACTCTTGGTGACGACTGAGTTTAACTCACAGAGCTGAACATTCCTTTGGATGGAGCAGTTTCAAAACACACTATTTGTAGAATCTGCAAGTGGATATGTGGGCCTCTCTGAGGATTTCGTTGGAAACGGGATAAACCGCACAGAACTAAAACAGAAGCATTCTCAGAAACTACTTTGTGATGATTGCATTCAAGTCACAGAGTTGAACATTCCCTTTGACAGAGCAGTTTGGAAACTCTCTTTGTGTAGAATCTGCAAGTGGAGATATGGACCGCTTTGAGGCCTATGGTAGTAAAGGAAATAGCTTCATATAAAAGCTAGACAGTAGCATTCTCAGAAACTTCTTTGTGATGCTTGCATTCAACTCACAGAGTTGAACTTTCCTTTCGAGAGAGAAGCTTTGAAACACTCTTTTTCCAGAATCTGCAAGTGGACATTTGGAGGGCTTTGAGGCCTGTGGTGGAAAAGGAATTATCTTCCCGTAAAAGCTAGATAGAAGCATTCTCAGAAACTTCTTTGTGATGATTGCATTCAACTCACAGAGTTGAAGGTTCCTTTTCAAACAGCAGTTTCCAATCACTCTTTCTGTGGAATCTGCAAGTGGATATTTGGGCCTCTCTGAGGATTTCGTTGGAAACGGGATAAAACGCACAGAACTCAAACAGAAGCATTCTCAGAAACTTCTCTCTGATGTTTGTGTTCAACTCCCAGAGTTTCACGTTGCTTTTCATAGAGTAGTTCTGAAACATGCTTTTCGTAGTGTCTGCAAGTGGACATTTGGAGCGCTTTCAGGCCTGTGGTGGAAAACGAATTATGGTCACATAAAAACTGGAGAGAAGCCTTCTCAGAAACTTCTCTGTGATGATTGCATTCAACTCACAGAGTTGAACCCTCCTATGGATAGAGCAGTGTTGAAACTCTCTTTTTGTGGAATCTGCAAGCGGATATGTGGACCTCTCCGAAGATGTCTTTGGCAACGGGAATATCTTCACATAAAAACTAAACAGAAGCATTCTCAGAAACTTCTTGGTGATGTTTGCATTCAAATCCCAGAGTTGAACCTTCCTTTGAGAGTTCAGGTTTGAAACACTCTTTTTGTAGGATCTGCAAGTGGATATTTGGACCACTCTGTGGCCTTCGTTCGAAACGGGTACATCTTCGCATAAAATCTAGACAGAAGCATTCTCAGAAAATACTTTGTGATGATTGAGTTTAAATCACAGAGCTGACCATTCCTTTGGATGGAGCAGGTTTGAGACACACTTTTTGTAGAATCTACAAGTGGATATTTGGACCTCTCTGAGGATTTCGTTGGAAACGGGATAACTGCACCTAACTAAACGGAAGCATTCTCAGAAACTGCTTTGTGATGATTGCATTCACCTCACAGAGTTGAACATTCCTATTGATAGAGCAGTTTGGAAACACTCTTGTTGTGGAATGTGCAAGTGGAGATTTGGAGCGCTTTGAGGTCTATGGTAGTAAAGGGAATAGCTTCATAGAAAAACTAGACAGATGCATTCTCAGGAACTTTTTGGTGATGTTTGTATTCAACTCCCAGAGTTGAACTTTCCTTTGGAAAGAGCAGCTATGAAACACTCTTTTTCTAGAATCTGCAAGTGGACGTTTGGAGGGCTTTGTGGTTTGTGGTGGAAAAGGAAATATCTTCACCTAAATACTAGATAGAAGCATTCTCAGAAGCTTCTCTGTGATGACTGCATTCAACTCACGGAGTTGAACACTCCTTTTGAGAGCGCAGTTTTGAAACTCTCTTTCTGTGGCATCTGCAAGGGGACATGTAGACCTCTTTGAAGATTTCGTTGGAAACGGAATCATCTTCGCATAAAAACTATACAGAAGCAGTCTCAGAATCTTCTTTGTGATGTTTGCATTCAAATCCCAGAGTTGAACTTCCCTTTCAAAGTTCACGTTTGAAACACTCTTTTTGCAGGATCTACAAGTGGATATTTGGACCACTCTGTGTCCTTCGTTCGAAACGGGTATATCTTCACATGACATCTAGACAGAAGCTTTCTCAGAAAATTCTTTGGGATGATTGAGTGGAACTCACAGAGCTGAACATTCCTTGCGATGTAGCAGTTTAGAAACACACTTTCTGCAGAATCTGCAAGTGCATATTTGGACCTCTCTGAGGAATTCGTTGGAAACGGGATAATTTCAGCTGACTAAACAGAAGCATTCTCAGAACCTTCTTCGTGATGTCTGCATTCAACTCACAGTGTGGAACCTTTCTTTGATAGTTCAGGTTTGAAACACTCTTTTTGTAGAAACTGCAAGGGGATAATTGCACTTCTTTGAGGCCTACCGTAGTAAAGGAAATAACTTCCTATAGAAAGAAGACAGAAGCATTCTCAGAACCCTCTTCGTGATGTTTGCATTCAACTCACAGTGCTGAACCTTTCTTTGATAGTTCAGCTTTGAAACACTCTTTTTGTAGAAACTGCAAGTGGATATTTGGTCCTCTCTGAGGATTTCGTTGGAAACGGGATAAACCGCACAGAACTAAACAGAAGCATTCTCAGAACCTTCTTCGTGATGTTTGCATTCAACTCACAGTGTTGAACCTTTCTTTGATAGTTCAGGTTTGAAACGGTCTTTCTGTAGAAACTGCAAGTAGATATTTGGACCTCTCTGAGGATTTCGTTGGAAACGGGATAAACCGCACAGAACTAAAACAGAAGCATTCACAGAAAACTCTTGGTGACGACTGAGTTTAACTCACAGAGCTGAACATTCCTTTGGATGGAGCAGTTTCGAAACACACTATTTGTAGAATCTGCAAGTGGATATTTGGGCCTCTCTGAGGATTTCGTTGGAAACGGGATAAACCGCACAGAACTAAAACAGAAGCATTCTCAGAAACTACTTTGTGATGATTGCATTCAAGTCACAGAGTTGAACATTCCCTTTGACAGAGCAGTTTGGAAACTCTCTTTGTGTAGAATCTGCAAGTGGAGATATGGACCGCTTTGAGGCCTATGGTAGTAAAGGAAATAGCTTCATATAAAAGCTAGACAGTAGCATTCTCAGAAACTTCTTTGTGATGCTTGCATTCAACTCACAGAGTTGAACTTTCCTTTCGAGAGAGAAGCTTTGAAACACTATTTTTCCAGAATCTGCAAGTGGACATTTGGAGGGCTTTGAGGCCTGTGGTGGAAAAGGAATTATCTTCCCGTAAAAGCTAGATAGAAGCATTGTCAGAAACTTCTTTGTGATGATTGCATTCAACTCACAGAGTTGAAGGTTCCTTTTCAAACAGCAGTTTCCAAACACTCTTTCTGTGGAATCTGCAAGTGGATATTTGGACCTCTTTGAAGATTTCGTTGGAAACGGGAGAATCTTCACAGAAAAGCTAAACGGAAGCAATCTCAGAAACTTCTCTGTGATGTTTGTGTTCAACTCCCAGAGTTTCACATTGCTTCTCATAGAGTAGTTCTGAAACATGCTTTTCGTAGTGTCTGCAAGTGGACATTTGGAGCGCTTTCAGGCCTGTGGTGGAAAACGAATTATGGTCACATAAAAACTGGAGAGAAGCCTTCTCAGAAACTTCTCTGTGATGATTGCATTCAACTCACAGAGTTGAACCCTCCTATGGATAGAGCAGTGTTGAAACTCTCTTTTTGTGGAATCTGCAAGCGGATATGTGGACCTCTCCGAAGATGTCTTTGGAAACGGGAATATCTTCACATAAAAACTAAACAGAAGCATTCTCAGAAACTTCTTGGTGATGTTTGCATTCAAATCCCAGAGTTGAACCTTCCTTTGATAGTTCAGGTTTGAAACACTCTTTCTGTAGGATCTGCAAGTGGCTATTTGGACCACTCTGTGGCCTTCGTTCGAAACGGGTATATCTTCGCATAAAATCTAGACAGAAGCATTCTCAGAAAATACTTTGTGATGATTGAGTTGAACTCACAGAGCTGAACATTCCTTTGGATGGAGCAGGTTTGAGACACACTTTTTGTAGAATCTACAAGTGGATATTTGGACCTCTCTGAGGATTTCGTTGGAAACGGGATAACTGCACCTAACTAAACGGAAGCATTCTCAGAAACTGCTTTGTGATGATTGCATTCACCTCACAGAGTTGAACATTCCTCTTGATAGAGCAGTTTGGAAACACTCTTGTTGTGGAATGTGCAAGTGGAGATTTGGAGCGCTTTGAGGCCTATGGTAGTAAAGGGAATAGCTTCATAGAAAAACTAGACAGATGCATTCTCAGGAACTTTTTGGTGATGTTTGTATTCAACTCCCAGAGTTGAACTTTCCTTTGGAAAGAGCAGCTATGAAACACTCTTTTTCTAGAATCTGCAAGTGGACGTTTGGAGGGCTTTGTGGTTTGTGGTGGAAAAGGAAATATCTTCACCTAAATACTAGATAGAAGCATCCTCAGAAGCTTCTCTGTGATGACTGCATTCAACTCACGGAGTTGAACACTCCTTTTGAGAGCGCAGTTTTGAAACTCTCTTTCTGTGGCATCTGCAAGGGGACATGTAGACCTCTTTGAAGATTTCGTTGGAAACGGAATCATCTTCACATAAAAACTATACAGAAGCAGTCTCAGAATCTTCTTTGTGATGTTTGCATTCAAATCCCCGAGTTGAACTTTCCTTTCAAAGTTCACGTTTGAAACACTCTTTTTGCAGGATCTACAAGTGGATATTTGGACCACTCTGTGTCCTTCGTTCGAAACGGGTATATCTTCACATGACATCTAGACAGAAGCTTTCTCAGAAAATTCTTTGGGATGATTGAGTTGAACTCACAGAGCTGAGCATTCCTTGCGATGTAGCAGTTTAGAAACACACTTTCTGCAGAATCTGCAAGTGCATATTTGGACCTCTGTGAGGAATTCGTTGGAAACGGGATAATTTCAGCTGACTAAACAGAAGCATTCTCAGAACCTTCTTCGTGATGTCTGCATTCAACTCACAGTGTGGAACCTTTCTTTGATAGTTCAGGTTTGAAACACTCTTTTTGTAGAAACTGCAAGGGGATAATTGCACTCTTTGAGGAGTACCGTAGTAAAGGAAATAACTTCCTATAAAAAGAAGACAGAAGCATTCTCAGAACCCTCTTCGTGATGTTCGCATTCAACTCACAGTGCTGAATCTTTCTTTGATAGTTCAGCTTTGAAACACTCTTTTTGTAGAAACTGCAAGTGGATATTTGGTCCTCTCTGAGGATTTCTTTGGAAACGGGATAAACTGCACAGAACTAAACAGAAGCATTCTCAGAACCTTCTTCGTGATGTTTGCATTCAACTCACAGTGTTGAACCTTCCTTTGATAGTTCAGGTTTGAAACGGTCTTTCTGTAGAAACTGCAAGTAGATATTTGGACCTCTCTGAGGATTTCGTTGGAAACGGGATAACCCGCACAGAACTAAAACAGAAGCATTCACAGAAAACTCTTGGTGACGACTGAGTTTAACTCACAGAGCTGAACATTCCTTTGGATGGAGCAGTTTCGAAACACACTATTTGTAGAATGTGCAAGTGGATATGTGGGCCTCTCTGAGGATTTCGTTGGAAACGGGATAAACCGCACAGAACTAAACAGAAGCATTCTCAGAAACTACTTTGTGATGATTGCATTCAAGTCACAGAGTTGAACATTCCCTTTGACAGAGCAGTTTGGAAACTCTCTTTGTGTAGAATCTGCAAGTGGAGATATGGACCGCTTTGAAGCCTATGGTAGTAAAGGAAATAGCTTCATATAAAAGCTAGACAGTAGCATTCTCAGAAACTTCTTTGTGATGCTTGCATTCAACTCACAGAGTTGAACTTTCCTTTCGAGAGAGAAGCTTTGAAACACTCTTTTTCCAGAATGTGCAAGTGGACATTTGGAGGGCTTTGAGGCCTGTGGTGGAAAAGGAATTATCTTCCCGTAAAAGCTAGATAGAAGCATTGTCAGAAACTTCTTTGTGATGATTGCATTCAACTCACAGAGTTGAAGGTTCCTTTTCAAACAGCAGTTTCCAATCACTCTTTCTGTGGAATCTGCAAGTGGATATTTGGGCCTCTCTGAGGATTTCGTTGGAAACGGGATAAAACGCACAGAACTAAAACAGAAGCATTCTCAGAAACTTCTCTGTGATGTTTGTGTTCAACTCCCAGAGTTTCACATTGCTTCTCATAGAGTAGTTCTGAAACATGCTTTTCGTAGTGTCTGCAAGTGGACATTTGGAGCGCTTTCAGGCCTGTGGTGGAAAACGAATTATGGTCACATAAAAACTGGAGAGAAGCCTTCTCAGAAACTTCTCTGTGATGATTGCATTCAACTCACAGAGTTGAACCCTCCTATGGATAGAGCAGTGTTGAAACTCTCTTTTTGTGGAATCTGCAAGTGGATACGTGGACCTCTCCGAAGATGTCTTTGGAAACGGGAATATCTTCACATAAAAACTAAACAGAAGCATTCTCAGAAACTTCTTGGTGATGTTTGCATTCAAATCCCAGAGTTGAACCTTCCTTTGATAGTTCAGGTTTGAAACACTCTTTCTGTAGGATCTGCAAGTGGCTATTTGGACCACTCTGTGGCCTTCGTTCGAAACGGGTATATCTTCGCATAAAATCTAGACAGAAGCATTCTCAGAAAATACTTTGTGATGATTGAGTTTAACTCACAGAGCTGAACATTCCTTTGGATGGAGCAGGTTTGAGACACACTTTTTGTAGAATCTACAAGTGGATATTTGGACCTCTCTGAGGATTTCGTTGGAAACGCGATAACTGCACCTAACTAAACGGAAGCATTCTCAGAAACTGCTTTGTGATGATTGCATTCACCTCACAGAGTTGAACATTCCTATTGATAGAGCAGTTTGGAAACACTCTTGTTGCGGAATGTGCAAGTGGAGATTTGGAGCGCTTTGAGGCCTGTGGTAGTAAAGGGAATAGCTTCATAGAAAAACTAGACAGATGCATTCTCAGGAACTTTTTGGTGATGTTTGTATTCAACTCCCAGAGTTGAACTTTCCTTTGGAAAGAGCAGCTATGAAACACTCTTTTTCTAGAATCTGCAAGTGGACGTTTGGAGGGCTTTGTGGTTTGTGGTGGAAAAGGAAATATCTTCACCTAAATACTAGATAGAAGCATTCTCAGAAGCTTCTCTGTGATGACTGCATTCAACTCACGGAGTTGAACACTCCTCTTGAGAGCGCAGTTTTGAAACTCTCTTTCTGTGGCATCCGCAAGTGGATATGTGGACCTCTTTGAAGATGTCTTTGGAAACGGGAATATCTTCACATAAAAACTAAACGGAAGCAGTCTCAGAATCTTCTTTGTGGTGTTTGCATTCAAATCCCAGAGTTGAACTTTCCTTTCAAAGTTCACGTTTGAAACACTCTTTTTGCAGGATCTACAAGTGGATATTTGGACCACTCTGTGTCCTTCGTTCGAAACGGGTATATCTTCACATGACATCTAGACAGAAGCTTTCTCAGAAAATTCTTTGGGATGATTGAGTTGAGCAAACAGAGCTGAACATTCCTTGCGATGTAGCAGTTTAGAAACACACTTTCTGCAGAATCTGCAAGTGCATATGTGGACCTCTCTGAGGAATTCGTTGGAAACGGGATAATTTCAGCTGACTAAACAGAAGCATTCTCAGAACCTTCTTCGTGATGTCTGCATTCAACTCACAGTGTGGAACCTTTCTTTGATAGTTCAGGTTTGAAACACTCTTTTTGTAGAAATTGCAAGGGTATAATTGCACTTCTTTGAGGCCTACCGTAGTAAAGGAAATAACTTCCTATAAAAAGAAGACAGAAGCATTCTCAGAACCCTCTTCGTGATGTTTGCATTCAACTCACAGTGCTGAACCTTTCTTTGATAGTTCAGCTTTGAAACACTCTTTTTGTAGAAACTGCAAGTGGATATTTGGTCCTCTCTGAGGATTTCGTTGGAAACGGGATAAACCGCACAGAACTAAACAGAAGCATTCTCAGAACCTTCTTCGTGATGTTTGCATTCAACTCACAGTGTTGAACCTTTCTTTGATAGTTCAGGTTTGAAACGGTCTTTCTGTAGAAACTGCAAGTAGATATTTGGACCTCTCTGAGGATTTCGTTGGAAACGGGATAACCCGCACAGAACTAAAACAGAAGCATTCACAGAAAACTCTTGGTGACGACTGAGTTTAACTCACAGAGCTGAACATTCCTTTGGATGGAGCAGTTTCGAAACACACTATTTGTAGAATGTGCAAGTGGATATGTGGGCCTCTCTGAGGATTTCGTTGGAAACGGGATAAACCGCACAGAACTAAACAGAAGCATTCTCAGAAACTACTTTGTGATGATTGCATTCAAGTCACAGAGTTGAACATTCCCGTTGACAGAGCAGTTTGGAAACTCTCTTTGTGTAGAATCTGCAAAGTGGAGATATGGACCGCTTTGAGGACTATGGTAGTAAAGGAAATAGCTTCATATAAAAGCTAGACAGTAGCATTCTCAGAAACTTCTTTGTGATGCTTGCATTCAACTCACAGAGTTGAACTTTCCTTTCGAGAGAGAAGCTTTGAAACACTCTTTTTCCAGAATCTGCAAGTGGACATTTGGAGGGCTTTGAGGCCTGTGGTGGAAAAGGAATTATCTTCCCGTAAAAGCTAGATAGAAGCATTGTCAGAAACTTCTTTGTGATGATTGCATTCAAGTCACAGAGTTGAAGGTTCCTTTTCAAAAAGCAGTTTCCAATCACTCTTTCTGTGGAATCTGCAAGTGGATATTTGGACCTCTTGGAAGATTTCGTTGGAAACGGGAGAATCTTCACAGAAAAGCTAAACAGAAGCATTCTCAGAAACTTCTCTGTGATGTTTGTGTTCAACTCCCAGAGTTTCACGTTGCTTTTCATAGAGTAGTTCTGAAACATGCTTTTCGTAGTGTCTGCAAGTGGACATTTGGAGCGCTTTCAGGCCTGTGGTGGAAAACGAATTATGGTCACATAAAAACTGGAGAGAAGACTTCTCAGAAACTTCTCTGTGATGATTGCATTCAACTCACAGAGTTGAACCCTCCTACGGTTACAGCAGTTTTAAATCTCTCATTTTGTGGAATCTGCAAGTGGATATTTGGAGGGCTTTGAGGCCTGTGGTGGAAAGGGAATTATCTTCCCGTAAAAACTAGATAGAAGCATTCTCAGAAACTTCTTTGTGATGTTTGCATTCAAATCCCAGAGTTGAACCTTCTTTTGATAGGTCAGGTTTGAAACACTCTTTCTGTACGATCTGCAAGTGGATATTTGGACCACTCTGTGGCCTTCGTTCGAAACGGGTACATCTTCACATAACATCTAGACAGAAGCATTCTCAGAAAATACTTTGTGATGATTGAGTTTAACTCACAGAGCTGAACATTCCTTTGGATGGAGCAGGTTTGAGACACACTTTTTGTAGAATCTACAAGTGGATATTTGGACCTCTCTGAGGATTTCGTTGGAAACGGGATAACTGCACCTAACTAAACGGGAAGCATTCTCAGAAACTGCTTTGTGATGATTGCATTCACCTCACAGAGTTGAACATTCCTATTGATAGAGCAGTTTGGAAACACTCTTGTTGTGGAATGTGCAAGTGGAGATTTGGAGCGCTTTGAGGCCTGTGGTAGTAAAGGGAATAGCTTCATAGAAAAACTAGACAGATGCATTCTCAGGAACTTTTTGGTGATGTTTGTATTCAACTCCCAGAGTTGAACTTTCCTTTGGAAAGAGCAGCTATGAAACACTCTTTTTCTAGAATCTGCAAGTGGACGTTTGGAGGGCTTTGTGGTTTGTGGTGGAAAAGGAAATATCTTCACCTAAATACTAGATAGAAGCATTCTCAGAAGCTTCTCTGTGATGACTGCATTCAAATCACGGAGTTGAACACTCCTTTTGAGAGCGCAGTTTTGAAACTCTCTTTCTCTGGCATCTGCAAGGGGACATGTAGACCTCTTTGAAGATTTCGTTGGAAACGGAATCATCTTCACATCAAAACTATACAGAAGCAGTCTCAAGAATCTTCTTTGTGATGTTTGCATTCAAATCCCAGAGTTGAACTTTCCTTTCAAAGTTCACGTTTGAAACACTCTTTTTGCAGGATCTACAAGTGGATATTTGGACCACTCTGTGTCCTTCGTTCGAAACGGGTATATCTTCACATGACATCTAGACAGAAGCTTTCTCAGAAAATTCTTTGGGATGATTGAGTGGAACTCACAGAGCTGAACATTCCTTGCGATGTAGCAGTTTAGAAACACACTTTCTGCAGAATCTGCAAGTGCATATTTGGACCTCTCTGAGGAATTCGTTGGAAACGGGATAATTTCAGCTGACTAAACAGAAGCATTCTCAGAACCTTCTTCGTGATGTCTGCATTCAACTCACAGTGTGGAACCTTTCTTTGATAGTTCAGGTTTGAAACACTCTTTTTGTAGAAACTGCAAGGGGATAATTGCACTTCTTTGAGGCCTACCGTAGTAAAGGAAATAACTTCCTATAGAAAGAAGACAGAAGAATTCTCAGAGCCCTCTTCGTGATGTTTGCATTCAACTCACAGTGCTGAACCTTTCTTTGATAGTGCAGCTTTGAAACACTCTTTTTGTAGAAACTGCAAGTGGATGTTTGGTCCTCTCTGAGGATTTCGTTGGAAACGGGATAAACCGCACAGAACTAAAACAGAAGCATTCTCAGAACCTTCTTCGTGATGTTTGCATTCAACTCACAGTGTTGAACCTTTCTTTGATAGTTCAGGTTGGAAACGGTCTTTCTGTAGAAACTGCAAGTAGATATTTGGACCTCTCTGAGGATTTCGTTGGAAACGGGATAAACCGCACAGAACTAAAACAGAAGCATTCACAGAAAACTCTTGGTGACGACTGAGTTTAACTCACAGAGCTGAACATTCCTTTGGATGGAGCAGTTTCGAAACACACTATTTGTAGAATGTGCAAGTGGATATTTGGGCCTCTCTGAGGATTTCGTTGGAAACGGGATAAACCGCACAGAACTAAACAGAAGCATTCTCAGAAACTACTTTGTGATGATTGCATTCAAGTCACAGAGTTGAACATTCCCTTTGACAGAGCAGTTTGGAAACTCTCTTTGTGTAGAATCTGCAAGTGGAGATATGGACCGCTTTGAGGCCTATGGTAGTAAAGGAAATACCTTCATATAAAAGCTAGACAGTAGCATTCTCAGAAACTTCTTTGTGATGCTTGCATTCAACTCACAGAGTTGAACTTTCCTTTCGAGAGAGAAGCTTTGAAACACTCTTTTTCCAGAATGTGCAAGTGGACATTTGGGGAGCTTTGAGGCCTGTGGTGGAAAAGGAATTATCTTCCCGTAAAAGCTAGATAGAAGCATTGTCAGAAACTTCTTTGTGATGATTGCATTCAACTCACAGAGTTGAAGGTTCCTTTTCAAACAGCAGTTTCCAATCACTCTTTCTGTGGAATCTGCAAGTGGATATTTGGGCCTCTCTGAGGATTTCGTTGGAAACGGGATAAAACGCACAGAACTAAAACAGAAGCATTCTCAGAAACTTCTCTGTGATGTTTGTGTTCAACTCCCAGAGTTTCACGTTGCTTTTCATAGAGTAGTTCTGAAACATGCTTTTCGTAGTGTCTGCAAGTGGACATTTGGAGCGCTTTCAGGCCTGTGGTGGAAAACGAATTATGGTCACATAAAAACTGGAGAGAAGCCTTCTCAGAAACTTCTCTGTGATGATTGCATTCAACTCACAGAGTTGAACCCTCCTATGGATAGAGCAGTGTTGAAACTCTCTTTTTGTGGAATCTGCAAGTGGATATGTGGACCTCTCCGAAGATGTCTTTGGAAACGGGAATATCTTCACATAAAAACTAAACAGAAGCATTCTCAGAAACTTCTTGGTGATGTTTGCATTCAAATCCCAGAGTTGAACCTTCCTTTGATAGTTCAGGTTTGAAACACTCTTTTTGTAGGATCTGCAAGTGGCTATTTGGACCACTCTGTGGCCTTCGTTCGAAACGGGTATATCTTCGCATAAAATCTAGACAGAAGCATTCTCAGAAAATACTTTGTGATGATTGAGTTTAAATCACAGAGCTGAACATTCCTTTGGATGGAGCAGGTTTGAGACACACTTTTTGTAGAATCTACAAGTGGATATTTGGACCTCTCTGAGGATTTCGTTGGAAACGGGAGAACTGCACCTAAGTAAACGGAAGCATTCTCAGAAACTGCTTTGTGATGATTGCATTCACCTCACAGAGTTGAACATTCCTATTGATAGAGCAGTTTGGAAACACTCTTGTTGTGGAATGTGCAAGTGGAGATTTGGAGCGCTTTGAGGCCTATGGTAGTAAAGGGAATAGCTTCATAGAAAAACTAGACAGATGCATTCTCAGGAACTTTTTGGTGATGTTTGTATTCAACTCCCAGAGTTGAACTTTCCTTTGGAAAGAGCAGCTATGAAACACTCTTTTTCTAGAATCTGCAAGTGGACGTTTGGAGGGCTTTGTGGTTTGTGGTGGAAAAGGAAATATCTTCACCTAAATACTAGATAGAAGCATTCTCAGAAGCTTCTCTGTGATGACTGCATTCAACTCACGGAGTTGAACACTCCTTTTGAGAGCGCAGTTTTGAAACTCTCTTTCTGTGGCATCTGCAAGGGGACATGTAGACCTCTTTGAAGATTTCGTTGGAAACGGAATCATCTTCACATAAAAACTATACAGAAGCAGTCTCAGAATCTTCTTTGTGATGTTTGCATTCAAATCCCAGAGTTGAACTTTCCTTTCAAAGTTCACGTTTGACACACTCTTTTGCAGGATCTACAAGTGGATATTTGGACCACTCTGTGTCCTAAGTTCGAAACGGGTATATCTTCACATGACATCTAGACAGAAGCTTTCTCAGAAAATTCTTTGGGATGATTGAGTTGAACTCACAGAGCTGAGCATTCCTTGCGATGTAGCAGTTTAGAAACACACTTTCTGCAGAATCTGCAAGTGCATATGTGGACCTCTCTGAGGAATTCGTTGGAAACGGGATAATTTCAGCTGACTAAACAGAAGCATTCTCAGAACCTTCTTCGTGATGTCTGCATTCAACTCAAAGTGTGGAACCTTTCTTTGATAGTTCAGGTTTTAAAAACTCTTTTTGTACAAACTGCAAGGGGATAATTGCACTCTTTGAGGAGTACCGTAGTAAAGGAAATAACTTCCTTTAAAAAGAAGACAGAAGCATTCTCAGAACCCTCTTCGTGATGTTTGCATTCAACTCACAGTGCTGAACCTTTCTTTGATAGTTCAGCTTTGAAACACTCTTCTTGTAGAAACTGCAAGTGGATATTTGGTCCTCTCTGAGGATTTCGTTGGAAACGGGATAAACCGCACAGAACTAAACAGAAGCATTCTCAGAACCTTCTTCGTGATGTTTGCATTCAACTCACAGTGTTGAACCTTTCTTTGATAGTTCAGGTTTGAAACGGTCTTTCTGTAGAAACTGCAAGTAGATATTTGGACCTCTCTGAGGATTTCGTTGGAAACGGGATAACCCGCACAGAACTAAAACAGAAGCATTCACAGAAAACTCTTGGTGACGACTGAGTTTAACTCACAGAGCTGAACATTCCTTTGGATGGAGCAGTTTCGAAACACACTATTTGTAGAATGTGCAAGTGGATATTTAGGCCTCTCTGAGGATTTCGTTGGAAACGGGATAAACCGCACAGAACTAAACAGAAGCATTCTCAGAAACTACTTTGTGATGATTGCATTCAAGTCACAGAGTTGAACATTCCCTTTGACAGAGCAGTTTGGAAACTCTCTTTGTGTAGAATCTGCAAGTGGAGATATGGACCGCTTTGAGGCCTATGGTAGTAAAGGAAATAGCTTCATATAAAAGCTAGACAGTAGCATTCTCAGAAACTTCTTTGTGATGCTTGCATTCAACTCACAGAGTTGAACTTTTCTTTCGAGAGAGAAGCTTTGAAACACTCTTTTTCCAGAATCTGCAAGTGGACATTTGGAGGGCTTTGAGGCCTGTGGTGGAAAAGGAATTATCTTCCCGTAAAAGCTAGATAGAAGCATTGTCAGAAACTTCTTCGTGATGATTGCATTCAACTCACAGAGTTGAAGGTTCCTTTTCAAACAGCAGTTTCCAAACACTCTTTCTGTGGAATCTGCAAGTGGATATTTGGACCTCTTTGAAGATTTCGTTGGAAACGGGATAATCTTCACAGAAAAGCTAAACAGAAGCTTTCTCAGAAACTTCTCTGTGATGTTTGTGTTCAACTCCCAGAGTTTCACATTGCTTTTCATAGACTAGTTCTGAAACATGCTTTTTGTAGTGTCTGCAAGTGGACGTTTGGAGCGCTTTCAGGCCTGTGGTGGAAAACGAATTATGGTCACATAAAAACTGGAGAGAAGCCTTCTCAGAAACTTCTCTGTGATGATTGCATTCAACTCACAGAGTTGAACCCTCCTATGGATAGAGCAGTGTTGAAACTCTCTTTTTGTGGAATCTGCAAGTGGATATGTGGACCTCTCCGAAGATGTCTTTGGAAACGGGAATATCGTCACATAAAAACTAAACAGAAGCATTCTCAGAAACTTCTTGGTGATGTTTGCATTCAAATCCCAGAGTTGAACCTTCCTTTGATAGTTCAGGTTTGAAACACTCTTTCTGTAGGATCTGCAAGTGGCTATTTGGACCACTCTGTGGCCTTCGTTCGAAACGGGTATATCTTCGCATAAAATCTAGACAGAAGCATTCTCAGAAAATACTTTGTGATGATTGAGTTTAAATCACAGAGCTGACCATTCCTTTGGATGGAGCAGGTTTGAGACACACTTTTTGTAGAATCTACAAGTGGATATTTGGACCTCTCTGAGGATTTCGTTGGAAACGGGATAACTGCACCTAACTAAACGGAAGCATTCTCAGAAACTGCTTTGTGATGATTGCATTCACCTCACAGAGTTGAACATTCCTATTGATAGAGCAGTTTGGAAACACTCTTGTTGTGGAATGTGCAAGTGGAGATTTGGAGCGCTTTGAGGCCTATGGTAGTAAAGGGAATAGCTTCATAGAAAAACTAGACAGATGCATTCTCAGGAACTTTTTGGTGATGTTTGTATTCAACTCCCAGAGTTGAACTTTCCTTTGGAAAGAGCAGCTATGAAACACTCTTTTTCTAGAATCTGCAAGTGGACGTTTGGAGGGCTTTGTGGTTTGTGGTGGAAAAGGAAATATCTTCACCTAAATACTAGATAGAAGCATTCTCAGAAGCTTCTCTGTGATGACTGCATTCAACTCACGGAGTTGAACACTCCTTTTGAGAGCGCAGTTTTGAAACTCTCTTTCTGTGGCATCTGCAAGGGGACATGTAGACCTCTTTGAAGATTTCGTTGGAAACGGAATCATCTTCACATAAAAACTATACAGAAGCAGTCTCAGAATCTTCTTTGTGATGTTTGCATTCAAATCCCAGAGTTGAACTTTCCTTTCAAAGTTCACGTTTGAAACACTCTTTTTGCAGGATCTACAAGTGGATATTTGGACCACTCTGTGTCCTTCGTTCGAAACGGGTATATCTTCACATGACATCTAGACAGAAGCTTTCTCAGAAAATTCTTTGGGATGATTGAGTGGAACTCACAGAGCTGAACATTCCTTGCGATGTAGCAGTTTAGAAACACACTTTCTGCAGAATGTGCAAGTGCATATTTGGACCTCTCTGAGGAATTCGTTGGAAACGGGATAATTTCAGCTGACTAAACAGAAGCATTCTCAGAACCTTCTTCGTGATGTCTGCATTCAACTCACAGTGTGGAACCTTTCTTTGATAGTTCAGGTTTGAAACACTCTTTTTGTAGAAACTGCAAGGGGATAATTGCACTTCTTTGAGGCCTACCGTAGTAAAGTAAATAACTTCCTATAGAAAGAAGACAGAAGCATTCTCAGAACCCTCTTCGTGATGTTTGCATTCAACTCACGGTGCTGAACCTTTCTTTGATAGTTCAGCTTTGAAACACTCTTTTTGTAGAAACTGCAAGTGGATATTTGGTCCTCTCTGAGGATTTCTTTGGAAACGGGATAAACCGCACAGAACTAAACAGAAGCATTCTCAGAACCTTCTTCGTGATGTTTGCATTCAACTCACAGTGTTGAACCTTTCTTTGATAGTTCAGGTTTGAAACGGTCTTTCTGTAGAAACTGCAAGTAGATATTTGGACCTCTCTGAGGATTTCGTTGGAAACGGGATAAACCGCACAGAACTAAAACAGAAGCATTCACAGAAAACTCTTGGTGACGACTGAGTTTAACTCACAGAGCTGAACATTCCTTTGGATGGAGCAGTTTCGAAACACACTATTTGTAGAATGTGCAAGTGGATATTTAGGCCTCTCTGAGGATTTCGTTGGAAACGGGATAAACCGCACAGAACTAAACAGAAGCATTCTCAGAAACTACTTTGTGATGATTGCATTCAAGTCACAGAGTTGAACATTCCCTTTGACAGAGCAGTTTGGAAACTCTCTTTGTGTAGAATCTGCAAGTGGAGATATGGACCGCTTTGAGGCCTATGGTAGTAAAGGAAATAGCTTCATATAAAAGCTAGACAGTAGCATTCTCAGAAACTTCTTTGTGATGCTTGCATTCAACTCACAGAGTTGAACTTTCCTTTCGAGAGAGAAGCTTTGAAACACTCTTTTTCCAGAATGTGCAAGTGGACATTTGGGGAGCTTTGAGGCCTGTGGTGGAAAAGGAATTATCTTCCCGTAAAAGCTAGATAGAAGCATTGTCAGAGACTTCTTTGTGATGATTGCATTCAAGTCACAGAGTTGAAGGTTCCTTTTCAAAGAGCAGTTTCCAATCACTCTTTCTGTGGAATCTGCAAGTGGATATTTGGACCTCCTTTGAAGATTTCGTTGGAAACGGGAGAATCTTCACAGAAAAGCTAAACAGAAGCATTCTCAGAAACTTCTCTGTGATGTTTGTGTTCAACTCCCAGAGTTTCACGTTGCTTTTCATAGAGTAGTTCTGAAACATGCTTTTCGTAGTGTCTGCAAGTGGACATTTGGAGCGCTTTCAGGCCTGTGGTGGAAAACGAATTATGGTCACATAAAAACTGGAGAGAAGCCTTCTCAGAAACTTCTCTGTGATGATTGCATTCAACTCACAGAGTTGAACCGTCCTATGGATAGAGCAGTGTTGAAACTCTCTTTTTGTGGAATCTGCAAGTGGATATGTGGACCTCTCCGAAGATGTCTTTGGAAACGGGGTATCTTCACATAAAAACTAAACAGAAGCATTCTCAGAAACTTCTTGGTGATGTTTGCATTCAAATCCCAGAGTTGAACCTTCCTTTGATAGTTCAGGTTTGAAACACTCTTTTTGTAGGATCTGCAAGTGGATATTTGGACCACTCTGTGGCCTTCGTTCGAAACGGGTATATCTTCGCATAAAATCTAGACAGAAGCATTCTCAGAAAATACTTTGTGATGATTGAGTTTAACTCACAGAGCTGAACATTCCTTTGGATGGAGCAGGTTTGAGACACACTTTTTGTAGAATCTACAAGTGGATATTTGGACCTCTCTGAGGATTTCGTTGGAAACGCGATAACTGCACCTAACTAAACGGAAGCATTCTCAGAAACTGCTTTGTGATGATTGCATTCACCTCACAGAGTTGAACATTCCTATTGATAGAGCAGTTTGGAAACACTCTTGTTGTGGAATGTGCAAGTGGAGATTTGGAGCGCTTTGAGGCCTGTGGTAGTAAAGGGAATAGCTTCATAGAAAAACTAGACAGATGCATTCTCAGGAACTTTTTGGTGATGTTTGTATTCAACTCCCAGAGTTGAACTTTCCTTTGGAAAGAGCAGCTATGAAACACTCTTTTTCTAGAATCTGCAAGTGGACGTTTGGAGGGCTTTGTGGTTTGTGGTGGAAAAGGAAATATCTTCACCTAAATACTAGATAGAAGCATTCTCAGAAGCTTCTCTGTGATGACTGCATTCAACTCACGGAGTTGAACACTCCTTTTGAGAGCGCAGTTTTGAAACTCTCTTTCTGTGGCATCTGCAAGGGGACATGTAGACCTCTTTGAAGATTTCGTTGGAAACGGAATCATCTTCACATAAAAACTATACAGAAGCAGTCTCAGAATCTTCTTTGTGATGTTTGCATTCAAATCCCAGAGTTGAACTTTTCTTTCAAAGTTCACGTTTGAAACACTCTTTTTGCAGGATCTACAAGTGGATATTTGGACCACTCTGTGTCCTTCGTTCGAAACGGGTATATCTTCACATGACATCTAGACAGAAGCTTTCTCAGAAAATTCTTTGGGATGATTGAGTGGAACTCACAGAGCTGAACATTCCTTGCGATGTAGCAGTTTAGAAACACACTTTCTGCAGAATCTGCAAGTGCATATTTGGACCTCTCTGAGGAATTCGTTGGAAACGGGATAATTTCAGCTGACTAAACAGAAGCATTCTCAGAACCTTCTTCGTGATGTCTGCATTCAACTCACAGTGTGGAACCTTTCTTTGATAGTTCAGGTTTGAAACACTCTTTTTGTAGAAACTGCAAGGGGATAATTGCACTTCTTTGAGGCCTACCGTAGTAAAGGAAATAACTTCCTATAGAAAGAAGACAGAAGCATTCTCAGAACCCTCTTCGTGATGTCTGCATTCAACTCACAGTGTGGAACCTTTCTTTGATAGTTCAGGTTTGAAACACTCTTTTTGTAGAAACTGCAAGGGGATAATTGCACTTCTTTGAGGCCTACCGTAGTAAAGGAAATAACTTCCTATAGAAAGAAGACAGAAGCATTCTCAGAACCTTCTTCGTGATGTTTGCATTCAACTCACAGTGTTGAACCTTTCTTTGATAGTTCAGGTTTGAAACGGTCTTTCTGTAGAAACTGCAAGTAGATATTTGGACCTCTCTGAGGATTTCGTTGGAAACGGGATAAACCGCACAGAACTAAACAGAAGCATTCACAGAAAACTCTTGGTGACGACTGAGTTTAACTCACAGAGCTGAACATTCCTTTGGATGGAGCAGTTTCGAAACACACTATTTGTAGAATGTGCAAGTGGATATTTGGGCCTCTCTGAGGATTTCGTTGGAAACGGGATAAACCGCACAGAACTAAACAGAAGCATTCTCAGAAACTACTTTGTGATGATTGCATTCAAGTCACAGAGCTGAACATTCCCTTTGACAGAGCAGTTTGGAAACTCTCTTTGTGTAGAATCTGCAAGTGCAGATATGGAATGCTTTGAGGACTATGGTAGTAAAGGAAATAGCTTCATAGACAAGCTATACAGTAGCATTCTCAGAAACTTCTTTGTGATGCTTGCATTCAACTCACAGAGTTGAACTTTCCTTTCGAGAGAGAAGCTTTGAAACACTCTTTTTCCAGAATGTGCAAGTGGACATTTGGGGAGCTTTGAGGCCTGTGGTGGAAAAGGAATTATCTTCCCGTAAAAGCTAGATAGAAGCATTGTCAGAAACTTCTTTGTGATGATTGCATTCAACTCACAGAGTTGAAGGTTCCTTTTCAAACAGCAGTTTCCAATCACTCTTTCTGTGGAATCTGCAAGTGGATATTTGGGCCTCTCTGAGGATTTCGTTGGAAACGGGATAAAACGCACAGAACTAAAACAGAAGCATTCTCAGAAACTTCTCTGTGATGTTTGTGTTCAACTCCCAGAGTTTCACGTTGCTTTTCATAGAGTAGTTCTGAAACATGCTTTTCGTAGTGTCTGCAAGTGGACATTTGGAGCGCTTTCAGGCCTGTGGTGGAAAACGAATTATGGTCACATAAAAACTGGAGAGAAGCCTTCTCAGAAACTTCTCTGTGATGATTGCATTCAACTCACAGAGTTGAACCCTCCTATGGATAGAGCAGTGTTGAAACTCTCTTTTTGTGGAATCTGCAAGTGGATATGTGGACCTCTCCGAAGATGTCTTTGGAAACGGGAATATCTTCACATAAAAACTAAACAGAAGCATTCTCAGAAACTTCTTGGTGATGTTTGCATTCAAATCCCAGAGTTGAACCTTCCTTTGATAGTTCAGGTTTGAAACACTCTTTTTGTAGGATCTGCAAGTGGATATTTGGACCACTCTGTGGCCTTCGTTCGAAACGGGTATATCTTCGCATAAAATCCAGACAGAAGCATTCTCAGAAAATACTTTGTGATGATTGAGTTTAAATCACAGAGCTGACCATTCCTTTGGATGGAGCAGGTTTGAGACACACTTTTTGTAGAATCTACAAGTGGATATTTGGACCTCTCTGAGGATTTCGTTGGAAACGGGATAACTGCACCTAACTAAACGGAAGCATTCTCAGAAACTGCTTTGTGATGATTGCATTCACCCTCACAGAGTTGAACATTCCTATTGATAGAGCAGTTTGGAAACACTCTTGTTGTGGAATGTGCAAGTGGAGATTTGGAGCGCTTTGTGGCCTATGGTAGTAAAGGGAATAGCTTCATAGAAAAACTAGACAGATGCATTCTCAGGAACTTTTTGGTGATGTTTGTATTCAACTCCCAGAGTTGAACTTTCCTTTGGAAAGAGCAGCTATGAAACACTCTTTTTCTAGAATCTGCAAGTGGACGTTTGGAGGGCTTTGTGGTTTGTGGTGGAAAAGGAAATATCTTCACCTAAATACTAGATAGAAGCATTCTCAGAAGCTTCTCTGTGATGACTGCATTCAACTCACGGAGTTGAACACTCCTTTTGAGAGCGCAGTTTTGAAACTCTCTTTCTGTGGCATCTGCAAGGGGACATGTAGACCTCTTTGAAGATTTCGTTGGAAACGGAATCATCTTCACATAAAAACTATACAGAAGCAGTCTCAGAATCTTCTTTGTGATGTTTGCATTCAAATCCCAGAGTTGAACTTTCCTTTCAAAGTTCACGTTTGAAACACTCTTTTTGCAGGATCTACAAGTGGATATTTGGACCACTCTGTGTCCTTCGTTCGAAACGGGTATATCTCCACACGACATCTAGACAGAAGCTTTCTCAGAAAATTCTTTGGGATGATTGAGTGGAACTCACAGAGCTGAACATTCCTTGCGATGTAGCAGTTTAGAAACACACTTTCTGCAGAATCTGCAAGTGCATATTTGGACCTCTCTGAGGAATTCATTGGAAACGGGATAATTTCAGCTGACTAAACAGAAGCATTCTCAGAACCTTCTTCGTGATGTCTGCATTCAACTCACAGTGTGGAACCTTTCTTTGATAGTTCAGGTTTGAAACACTCTTTTTGTAGAAACTGCAAGGGGATAATTGCACTTCTTTGAGGCCTACCGTAGTAAAGGAAATAACTTCCTATAGAAAGAAGACAGAAGCATTCTCAGAACCCTCTTCGTGATGTTTGCATTCAACTCACAGTGCTGAACCTTTCTTTGATAGTTCAGCTTTGAAACACTCTTCTTGTAGAAACTGCAAGTGGATATTTGGTCCTCTCTGAGGATTTCGTTGGAAACGGGATAAACCGCACAGAACTAAACAGAAGCATTCTCAGAACCCTCTTCGTGATGTTTGCATTCAACTCACAGTGCTGAACCTTTCTTTGATAGTTCAGCTTTGAAACACTCTTTTTGTAGAAACTGCAAGTGGATATTTGGTCCTCTCTGAGCATTTCGTTGGAAACGGGATAAAATACACAGAACTAAACAGGAAGCATTCACAGAAAACTCTTGGTGACGACTGAGTTTAACTCACAGAGCTGGACATTCCTTTGGATGGAGCAGTTTCGAAACACACTATTTGTAGAATCTGCAAGTGGATATTTGGGCCTCTCTGAGGATTTCGTTGGAAACGGGATAAACAGCACAGAACTAAACAGAAGCATTCTCAGAAACTACTTTGTGATGATTGCATTCAAGTCACAGAGTTGAACATTCCCTTTGACAGAGCAGTTTGGAAACTCTCTTTGTGTAGAATCTGCAAGTGGAGATATGGACCGCTTTGAGGCCTATGGTAGTAAAGGAAATAGCTTCATATAAAAGCTAGACAGTAGCATTCTCAGAAACTTCTTTGTGATGCTTGCATTCAACTCACAGAGTTGAACTTTCCTTTCGAGAGAGAAGCTTTGAAACACTCTTTTTCCAGAATGTGCAAGTGGACATTTGGGGAGCTTTGAGGCCTGTGGAGGAAAAGGAATTATCTTCCCGTAAAAGCTAGATAGAAGCATTGTCAGAAACTTCTTTGTGATGATTGCATTCAACTCACAGAGTTGAAGGTTCCTTTTCAAACAGCAGTTTCCAATCACTCTTTCTGTGGAATCTGCAAGTGGATATTTGGGCCTCTCTGAGGATTTCGTTGGAAACGGGATAAAACGCACAGAACTAAAACAGAAGCATTCTCAGAAACTTCTCTGTGATGTTTGTGTTCAACTCCCAGAGTTTCACATTGCTTTTCATAGAGTAGTTCTGAAACATGCTTTTCGTAGTGTGTACAAGTGCACATTTGGAGCGCTTTCAGGCCTGTGGTGGAAAACGAATTATGGTCACATAAAAACTGGAGAGAAGCCTTCTCAGAAACTTCTCTGTGATGATTGCATTCAACTCACAGAGTTGAACCCTCCTATGGATAGAGCAGTGTTGAAACTCTCTTTTTGTGGAATCTGCAAGTGGATATGTGGACCTCTCCGAAGATGTCTTTGGAAACGGGAATATCTTCACATAAAAACTAAACAGAAGCATTCTCAGAAACTTCTTGGTGATGTTTGCATTCAAATCCCAGAGTTGAACCTTCCTTTGATAGTTCAGGTTTGAAACACTCTTTCTGTAGGATCTGCAAGTGGCTATTTGGACCACTCTGTGGCCTTCGTTCGAAACGGGTATATCTTCGCATAAAATCTAGACAGAAGCATTCTCAGAAAATACTTTGTGATGATTGAGTTGAACTCACAGAGCTGAACATTCCTTTGGATGGAGCAGGTTTGAGACACACTTTTTGTAGAATCTACAAGTGGATATTTGGACCTCTCTGAGGATTTCGTTGGAAACGGGATAACTGCACCTAACTAAACGGAAGCATTCTCAGAAACTGCTTTGTGATGATTGCATTCACCTCACAGAGTTGAACATTCCTATTGATAGAGCAGTTTGGAAACACTCTTGTTGTGGAATGTGCAAGTGGAGATTTGGAGCGCTTTGAGGCCTATGGTAGTAAAGGGAATAGCTTCATAGAAAAACTAGACAGATGCATTCTCAGGAACTTTTTGGTGATGTTTGTATTCAACTCCCAGAGTTGAACTTTCCTTTGGAAAGAGCAGCTATGAAACACTCTTTTTCTAGAATCTGCAAGTGGACGTTTGGAGGGCTTTGTGGTTTGTGGTGGAAAAGGAAATATCTTCACCTAAATACTAGATAGAAGCATTCTCAGAAGCTTCTCTGTGATGACTGCATTCAACTCACGGAGTTGAACACTCCTTTTGAGAGCGCAGTTTTGAAACTCTCTTTCTGTGGCATCTGCAAGGGGACATGTAGACCTCTTTGAAGATTTCGTTGGAAACGGAATCATCTTCACATAAAAACTATACAGAAGCAGTCTCAGAATCTTCTTTGTGATGTTTGCATTCCAATCCCAGAATTGAACTTTCCTTTCAAAGTTCACGTTTGAAACACTCTTTTTGCAGGATCTACAAGTGGATATTTGGACCACTCTGTGTCCTTCGTTCGAAACGGGTATATCTTCACATGACATCTAGACAGAAGCTTTCTCAGAAAATTCTTTGGGATGATTGAGTGGAACTCACAGAGCTGAACATTCCTTGCGATGGAGCAGTTTAGAAACACACTTTCTGCAGAATCTGCAAGTGCATATTTGGACCTCTCTGAGGAATTCGTTGGAAACGGGATAATTTCAGCTGACTAAACAGAAAGCATTCTCAGAACCTTCTTCGTGATGTCTGCATTCAACTCACAGTGTGGAACCTTTCTTTGACAGTTCAGGTTTGAAACACTCTTTTTGTAGAAACTGCAAGGGGATCATTGCACTTCTTTGAGGCCTACCGTAGTAAAGGAGATAACTTCCTATAAAAAGAAGACAGAAGCATTCTCAGAACCCTCTTCGTGATGTTTGCATTCAACTCACAGTGCTGAACCTTTCTTTGATAGTTCAGCTTTGAAACACTCTTCTTGTAGAAACTGCAAGTGGATATTTGGTCCTCTCTGAGGATTTCGTTGGAAACGGGATAAACCGCACAGAACTAAACAGAAGCATTCTCAGAACCTTCTTCGTGATGTTTGCATTCAACTCACAGTGTTGAACCTTTCTTTGATAGTTCAGGTTTGAAACGGTCTTTCTGTAGAAACTGCAAGTAGATATTTGGACCTCTCTGAGGATTTCGTTGGAAACGGGATAACCCGCACAGAACTAAAACAGAAGCATTCACAGAAAACTCTTGGTGACGACTGAGTTTAACTCACAGAGCTGAACATTCCTTTGGATGGAGCAGTTTCGAAACACACTATTTGTAGAATGTGCAAGTGGATATTTGGGCCTCTCTGAGGATTTCGTTGGAAACGGGATAAACCGCACAGAACTAAACAGAAGCATTCTCAGAAACTACTTTGTGATGATTGCATTCAAGTCACAGAGCTGAACATTCCCTTTGACAGAGAAGTTTGGAAACTCTCTTTGTGTAGAATCTGCAAGTGGAGATATGGAATGCTTTGAGGCATATGGTAGTAAAGGAAATAGCTTCATATAAAAGCTAGACAGTAGCATTCTCAGAAACTTCTTTGTGATGCTTGCATTCAACTCACAGAGTTGAACTTTCCTTTCGAGAGAGAAGCTTTGAAACACTCTTTTTCCAGAATCTGCAAGTGGACCTTTGGAGGGCTTTGATGTCTGTGGTGGAAATGGAATTATCTTCCCGTAAAAGCTAGATAGAAGCATTGTCAGAAACTTCTTTGTGATGATTGCATTCAACTCACAGAGTTGAAGGTTCCTTTTCAAAGAGCAGTTTCCAATCACTCTTTCTGTGGAGTCTGCAAGTGGATATTTGGACCTATTTTGAAGATTTCGTTGGAAACGGGAGAATCTTCACAGGAAAGCTAAACAGAAGCATTCTCAGAAACTTCTCTGTGATGTTTGTGTTCAACTCCCAGAGTTTCACATTGCTTTTCATAGAGTAGTTCTGAAACATGCTTTTCGTAGTGTCTACAAGTGGACATTTGGAGCGCTTTCAGGCCTGTGGTGGAAAACGAATTATGGTCACATAAAAACTGGAGAGAAGCCTTCTCAGAAACTTCTCTGTGATGATTGCATTCAACTCACAGAGTTGAACCCTCCTATGGATAGAGCAGTGTTGAAACTCTCTTTTTGTCGAATCTGCAAGTGGATATGTGGACCTCTCCGAAGATGTCTTTGGAAACGGGAATATCTTCACATAAAAACTAAACAGAAGCATTCTCAGAAACTTCTTGGTGATGTTTGCATTCAAATCCCAGAGTTGAACCTTCCTTTGATAGTTCAGGTTTGAAACACTCTTTTTGTAGGATCTGCAAGTGGATATTTGGACCACTCTGTGGCCTTCGTTCGAAACGGGTATATCTTCGTATAAAATCTAGACAGAAGCATTCTCAGAAAATACTTTGTGATGATTGAGTTGAACTCACAGAGCTGAACATTCCTTTGGATGGAGCAGGTTTGAGACACACTTTTTGTAGAATCTACAAGTGGATATTTGGACCTCTCTGAGGATTTCGTTGGAAACGGGATAACTGCACCTAACTAAACGGAAGCATTCTCAGAAACTGCTTTGTGATGATTGCATTCACCTCACAGAGTTGAACATTCCTATTGATAGAGCAGTTTGGAAACACTCTTGTTGTGGAATGTGCAAGTGGAGATTTGGAGCGCTTTGAGGTCTATGGTAGTAAAGGGAATAGCTTCATAGAAAAACTAGACAGATGCATTCTCAGGAACCTTTTGGTGATGTTTGTATTCAACTCCCAGAGTTGAACTTTCCTTTGGAAAGAGCAGCTATGAAACACTCTTTTTCTAGAATCTGCAAGTGGACGTTTGGAGGGCTTTGTGGTTTGTGGTGGAAAAGGAAATATCTTCACCTAAATACTAGACAGAAGCATTCTCAGAAGCTTCTCTGTGATGACTGCATTCAACTCACGGAGTTGAACACTCCTTTTGAGAGCGCAGTTTTGAAACTCTCTTTCTGTGGCATCTGCAAGGGGACATGTAGACCTCTTTGAAGATTTCGTTGGAAACGGAATCATCTTCACATAAAAACTATACAGAAGCAGTCTCAGAATCTTCTTTGTGATGTTTGCATTCAAATCCCAGAGTTGAACTTTCCTTTCAAAGTTCACGTTTGAAACACTCTTTTTGCAGGATCTACAAGTGGATATTTGGACCACTCTGTGTCCTTCGTTCGAAACGGGTATAACTTCACACGACATCTAGACAGAAGCTTTCTCAGAAAATTCTTTGGGATGATTGAGTGGAACTCACAGAGCTGAACATTCCTTGCGATGTAGCAGTTTAGAAACACACTTTCTGCAGAATCTGCAAGTGCATATTTGGACCTCTCTGAGGAATTCGTTGGAAACGGGATAATTTCAGCTGACTAAACAGAAGCATTCTCAGAACCTTCTTCGTGATGTCTGCATTCAACTCACAGTGTGGAACCTTTCTTTGATAGTTCAGGTTTGAAACACTCTTTTTGTAGAAACTGCAAGGGGATAATTGCACTTCTTTGAGGCCTACCGTAGTAAAGGAAATAACTTCCTATAGAAAGAAGACAGAAGCATTCTCAGAACCCTCTTCGTGATGTTTGCATTCAACTCACAGTGCTGAACCTTTCTTTGATAGTTCAGCTTTGAAACACTCTTCTTTTAGAAACTGCAAGTGGATATTTGGTCCTCTCTGAGGATTTCGTTGGAAACGGGATAAACCGCACAGAACTAAACAGAAGCATTCTCAGAACCCTCTTCGTGATGTTTGCATTCAACTCACAGTGCTGAACCTTTCTTTGATAGTTCAGCTTTGAAACACTCTTTTTGTAGAAACTGCAAGTGGATATTTGGTCCTCTCTGAGGATTTCGTTGGAAACGGCATAAACCGCACAGAACTAAACAGAAGCATTCACAAAAAACTCTTGGTGACGACTGAGTTTAACTCACAGAGCTGAACATTCCTTTGGATGGAACAGTTTCGAAACACACTATTTGTAGAATCTGCAAGTGGATATGTGGGCCTCTCTGAGGATTTCGTTCGAAACGGGATAAACCGCACAGAACTAAAACAGAAGCATTCTGAGAAACTACTTTGTGATGATTGCATTGAAGTCACAGAGCTGAACATTCCCTTTGACAGAGCAGTTTGGAAACTCTCTTTGTGTAGAATCTGCAAGTGGAGATATGGAATACTTTCAGGACTATGGTAGTAAAGGAAATAGCTTCATATAAAAGCTAGACAGTAGCATTGTCAGAAACTTCTTTGTGATGATTGCATTCAACTCACAGAGTTGAACTTTCCTTTCGAGAGAGAAGCTTTGAAACACTCTTTTTCCAGAATCTGCAAGTGGACATTTGGAGGGCTTTGAGGCCTGTGGTGGAAAAGGAATTATCTTCCCGTAAAAGCTGGATAGAAGCATTCTCAGAAACTTCTCAGTGATGTTTGTGTTCAACTCCCAGAGTGTCACATTGCTTCTCATAGAGCAGTTCTGAAACATGCTTTTCGTAGTGTCTGCAACTGGACATTTGGAGCGCTTTCAGGCCTGTGGTGGAAAACGAATTATGGTCACATAAAAACTGGAGAGAAGCCTTCTCAGAAACTTCTCTGTGATGATTGCATTCAACTCACAGAGTTGAACCCTCCTATGGATAGAGCAGTGTTGAAACTCTCTTTTTGTGGAATCTGCAAGTGGATATGTGGACCTCTCCGAAGATGTCTTTGGAAACGGGAATATCTTCACCCTAAAAACTAAACAGAAGCATTCTCAGAAACTTCTTGGTGATGTTTGCATTCAAATCCCAGAGTTGAACCTTCCTTTGAGAGTTCAGGTTTGAAACACTCTTTTTGTAGGATCTGCAAGTGGATATTTGGACCACTCTGTGGCCTTCGTTCGAAACCGGTACATCTTCGCATAAAATCTAGACAGAAGCATTCTCAGAAAATACTTTGTGATGATTGAGTTGAACTCACAGAGCTGAACATTCCTTTGGATGGAGCAGGTTTGAGACACACTTTTTGTAGAATCTACAAGTGGATATTTGGACCTCTCTGAGGATTTCGTTGGAAACGGGATAACTGCACCTAACTAAACGGAAGCATTCTCAGAAACTGCTTTGTGATGATTGCATTCACCTCACAGAGTTGAACATTCCTATTGATAGAGCAGTTTGGAAACACTCTTGTTGTGGAATGTGCAAGTGGAGATTTGGAGCGCTTTGAGGCCTATGGTAGTAAAGGGAATAGCTTCATAGAAAAACTAGACAGATGCATTCTCAGGAACTTTTTGGTGATGTTTGTATTCAACTCCCAGAGTTGAACTTTCCTTTGGAAAGAGCAGCTATGAAACACTCTTTTTCTAGAATCTGCAAGTGGACGTTTGGAGGGCTTTGTGGTTTGTGGTGGAAAAGGAAATATCTTCACCTAAATACTAGATAGAAGCATTCTCAGAAGCTTCTCTGTGATGACTGCATTCAACTCACGGAGTTGAACACTCCTTTTGAGAGCGTAGTTTTGAAACTCTCTTTCTGTGGCATCTGCAAGGGGACATGTAGACCTCTTTGAAGATTTCGTTGGAAACGGAATCATCTTCACATAAAAACTATACAGAAGCAGTCTCAGAATCTTCTTTGTGATGTTTGCATTCAAATCCCAGAGTTGAACTTTCCTTTCAAAGTTCACGTTTGAAACACTCTTTTTGCAGGATCTACAAGTGGATATTTGGACCACTCTGTGTCCTTCGTTCGAAACGGGTATATCTTCACACGACATCTAGACAGAAGCTTTCTCAGAAAATTCTTTGGGATGATTGAGTGGAACTCACAGAGCTGAACATTCCTTGCGATGTAGCAGTTTAGAAACACACTTTCTGCAGAATCTGCAAGTGCATATTTGGACCTCTCTGAGGAATTCGTTGGAAACGGGATAATTTCAGCTGACTAAACAGAAGCATTCTCAGAACCTTCTTCGTGATGTCTGCATTCAACTCACAGTGTGGAACCTTTCTTTGATAGTTCAGGTTTGAAACACTCTTTTTGTAGAAACTGCAAGGGGATAATTGCACTTCTTTGAGGCCTACCGTAGTAAAGGAAATAACTTCCTATAGAAAGAAGACAGAAGCATTCTCAGAACCCTCTTCGTGATGTTTGCATTCAACTCACGGTGCTGAACCTTTCTTTGATAGTTCAGCTTTGAAACACTCTTTTTGTAGAAACTGCAAGTGGATATTTGGTCCTCTCTGAGGATTTCGTTGGAAAAGGGATAAACCGCACAGAACTAAACAGAAGCATTCTCAGAACCCTCTTCGTGATGTTTGCATTCAACTCACAGTGCTGAACCTTTCTTTGATAGTTCAGCTTTGAAACGGTCTTTCTGTAGAAACTGCAAGTAGATATTTGGACCTCTCCGAGGATTTCGTTGGAAACGGGATAAACCGCACAGAACTAAAACAGAAGCATTCACAGAAAACTCTTGGTGACGACTGAGTTTAACTCACAGAGCTGAACATTCCTTTGGATGGAACAGTTTCGAAACACACTATTTGTAGAATCTGCAAGTGGATATTTGGGCCTCTCTGAGGATTTCGTTGGAAACGGGATAAACCGCACAGAACTAAAACAGAAGCATTCTCAGAAACTACTTTGTGATGATTGCATTCAAGTCACAGAGTTGAACATTCCCTTTGACAGAGCAGTTTGGAAACTCTCTTTGTGTAGAATCTGCAAGTGGAGATATGGACCGCTTTGAGGCCTATGGTAGTAAAGGAAATAGCTTCATATAAAAGCTAGACAGTAGCATTCTCAGAAACTTCTTTGTGATGCTTGCATTCAACTCACAGAGTTGAACTTTCCTTTCGAGAGAGAAGCTTTGAAACACTCTTTTTCCAGAATCTGCAAGTGGACATTTGGAGGGCTTTGAGGCCTGTGGTGGAAAAGGAATTATCTTCCCGTAAAAGCTAGATAGAAGCATTGTCAGAAACTTCTTTGTGATGATTGCATTCAACTCACAGAGTTGAAGGTTCCTTTTCAAACAGCAGTTTCCAATCACTCTTTCTGTGGAATCTGCAAGTGGATATTTGGGCCTCTCTGAGGATTTCGTTGGAAACGGGATAAAACGCACAGAACTAAAACAGAAGCATTCTCAGAAACTTCTCTGTGATGTTTGTGTTCAACTCCCAGAGTTTCACATTGCTTTTCATAGAGTAGTTCTGAAACATGCTTTTCGTAGTGTCTGCAAGTGGACATTTGGAGCGCTTTCAGGCCTGTGGTGGAAAACGAATTATGGTCCCATAAAAACTGGAGAGAAGCCTTCTCAGAAACTTCTCTGTGATGATTGCATTCAACTCACAGATTTGAACCCTCCTATGGATAGAGCATTGTTGAAACTCTCTTTTTGTGGAATCTGCAAGTGGATATGTGGACCTCTCCGAAGATGTCTTTGGAAACGGGCATATCTTCACATAAAAACTAAACAGAAGCATTCTCAGAAACTTCTTGGTGATGTTTGCATTCAAATCCCAGAGTTGAACCTTCCTGTGATAGTTCAGGTTTGAAACACTCTTTTTGTAGGATCTGCAAGTGGATATTTGGACCACTCTGTGGCCTTCGTTCGAAACGGGTACATCTTCACATAAAATCTAGACAGAAGCATTCTCAGAAAATACTTTGTGATGATTGAGTTTAAATCACAGAGCTGACCATTCCTTTGGATGGAGCAGGTTTGAGACACACTTTTTGTAGAATCTACAAGTGGATATTTGGACCTCTCTGAGGATTTCGTTGGAAACGGGATAACTGCACCTAACTAAACGGAAGCATTCTCAGAAACTGCTTTGTGATGATTGCATTCACCTCACAGAGTTGAACATTCCTATTGATAGAGCAGTTTGGAAACACTCTTGTTGTGGAATGTGCAAGTGGAGATTTGGAGCGCTTTGAGGCCTGTGGTAGTAAAGGGAATAGCTTCATAGAAAAACTAGACAGATGCATTCTCAGGAACTTTTTGGTGATGTTTGTATTCAACTCCCAGAGTTGAACTTTCCTTTGGAAAGAGCAGCTATGAAGCACTCTTTTTCTAGAATCTGCAAGTGGACGTTTGGAGGGCTTTGTGGTTTGTGGTGGAAAAGGAAATATCTTCACCTAAATACTAGAGAGAAGCATTCTCAGAAGCTTCTCTGTGATGACTGCATTCAACTCACGGAGTTGAACACTCCTTTTGAGAGCGCAGTTTTGAAACTCTCTTTCTGTGGCATCTGCAAGGGGACATGTAGACCTCTTTGAAGATTTCGTTGGAAACGGAATCATCTTCACATAAAAACTATACAGAAGCAGTCTCAGAATCTTCTTTGTGATGTTTCGCATTCAAATCCCAGAGTTGAACTTTCCTTTCCAAGTTCACGTTTGAAACACTCTTTTTGCAGGATCTACAAGTGGATATTTGGACCACTCTGTGTCCTTCGTTCGAAACGGGTATATCTTCACATGACATCTAGACAGAAGCTTTCTCAGAAAATTCTTTGGGATGATTGAGTGGAACTCACAGAGCTGAACATTCCTTGCGATGTAGCAGTTTAGAAACACACTTTCTGCAGAATCTGCAAGTGCATATTTGGACCTCTCTGAGGAATTCGTTGGAAACGGGATAATTTCAGCTGACTAAACAGAAGCATTCTCAGAACCTTCTTCGTGATGTCTGCATTCAACTCACAGTGTGGAACCTTTCTTTGATAGTTCAGGTTTGAAACACTCTTTTTGTAGAAACTGCAAGGGGATAATTGCACTCTTTGAGGAGTACCGTAGTAAAGGAAATAACTTCCTATAAAAAGAAGACAGAAAGCATTCTCAGGACCCTCTTCGTGATGTTTGCATTCAACTCACAGTGCTGAACCTTTCTTTGATAGTTCAGCTTTGAAACACTCTTTTTGTAGAAACTGCAAGTGGATATTTGGTCCTCTCTGAGGATTTCGTTGGAAACGGGATAAACCGCACAGAACTAAACAGAAGCATTCTCAGAACCCTCTTCGTGATGTTTGCATTCAACTCACAGTGTTGAACCTTTCTTTGATAGTTCAGGTTGGAAACGGTCTTTCTGTAGAAACTGCAAGTAGATATTTGGACCTCTCTGAGGATTTCGTTGGAAACGGGATAAACCGCACAGAACTAAAACAGAAGCATTCACAGAAAACTCTTGGTGACGACTGAGTTTAACTCACAGAGCTGAACATCCCTTTGGATGGAGCAGTTTCGAAACACACTATTTGTAGAATGTGCAAGTGGATATTGGGGCCTCTCTGAGGATTTCGTTGGAAACGGTATAAACGGCACAGAAATAAACAGAAGCATTCTCAGAAACTACTTTGTGATGATTGCATTCAAGTCACAGAGTTGAACATTCCCTTTGACAGAGCAGTTTGGAAACTCTCTTTGTGTAGAATCTGCAAGTGGAGATATGGACCGCTTTGAGGCCTATGGTAGTAAAGGAAATAGCTTCATATAAAAGCTAGACAGTAGCATTCTCAGAAACTTCTTTGTGATGCTTGCATTCAACTCACAGAGTTGAACTTTCCTTTCGAGAGAGAAGCTTTCAAACACTCTTTTTCCAGAATCTGCAAGTGGACATTTGGAGGGCTTTGAGGCCTGTGGTGGAAAAGGAATTATCTTCCCGTAAAAGCTAGATAGAAGCATTGTCAGAAACTTCTTTGTGATGATTGCATTCAACTCACAGAGTTGAAGGTTCCTTTTCAAACAGCAGTTTCCAATCACTCATTCTGTGGAATGTGCAAGTGGATATTTGGACCTCTTTGAAGATTTCGTTGGAAACGGGAGAATCTTCACAGAAAAGCTAAACAGAAAGCATTCTCAGAAACTTCTCTGTGATGTTTGTGTTCAACTCCCAGAGTTTCACATTGCTTCTCATAGAGTAGTTCTGAAACATGCTTTTCGTAGTGTCTGCAAGTGGACATTTGGAGCGCTTTCAGGCCTGTGGTGGAAAACGAATTATGGTCCCATAAAAACTGGAGAGAAGCCTTCTCAGAAACTTCTCTGTGATGATTGCATTCAACTCACAGAGTTGAACCCTCCTATGGATAGAGCAGTGTTGAAACTCTCTTTTTGTCGAATCTGCAAGTGGATATGTGGACCTCTCCGAAGTTGTCTTTGGAAACGGGAATATCTTCACATAAAAACTAAACAGAAGCATTCTCAGAAACTTCTTGGTGATGTTTGCATTCAAATCCCAGAGTTGAACCTTCCTTTGATAGTTCAGGTTTGAAACACTCTTTTTGTAGGATCTGCAAGTGGCTATTTGGACCACTCTGTGGCCTTCGTTCGAAACGGGTATATCTTCGCATAAAATCTAGACAGAAGCATTCTCAGAAAATACTTTGTGATGATTGAGTTTAACTCACAGAGCTGAACATTCCTTTGGATGGAGCAGGTTCGAGACACACTTTTTGTAGAATCTACAAGTGGATATTTGGACCTCTCTGAGGATTTCGTTGGAAACGGGATAACTGCACCTAACTAAACGGAAGCATTCTCAGAAACTGCTTTGTGATGATTGCATTCACCTCACAGAGTTGAACATTCCTATTGATAGAGCAGTTTGGAAACACTCTTGTTGTGGGATGTGCAAGTGGAGATTTGGAGCGCTTTGAGGCCTATGGTAGTAAAGGGAATAGCTTCATAGAAAAACTAGACAGATGCATTCTCAGGAACTTTTTGGTGATGTTTGTATTCAACTCCCAGAGTTGAACTTTCCTTTGGAAAGAGCAGCTATGAAACACTCTTTTTCTAGAATCTGCAAGTGGACGTTTGGAGGGCTTTGTGGTTTGTGGTGGAAAAGGAAATATCTTCACCTAAATACTAGATAGAAGCATTCTCAGAAGCTTCTCTGTGATGACTGCATTCAACTCACGGAGTTGAACACTCCTTTTGAGAGCGCAGTTTTGAAACTCTCTTTCTGTGGCATCTGCAAGGGGACATGTAGACCTCTTTGAAGATTTCGTTGGAAACGGAATCATCTTCACATAAAAACTATACAGAAGCAGTCTCAGAATCTTCTTTGTGATGTTTGCATTCAAATCCCAGAGTTGAACTTTCCTTTCAAAGTTCACGTTTGAAACACTCTTTTTGCAGGATCTACAAGTGGATATTTGGACCACTCTGTGTCCTTCGTTCGAAACGGGTATAACTTCACACGACATCTAGACAGAAGCTTTCTCAGAAAATTCTTTGGGATGATTGAGTTGAACTCACAGAGCTGAACATTCCTTGCGATGTAGCAGTTTAGAAACACACTTTCTACAGAATCTGCAAGTGCATATTTGGACCTCTCTGAGGAATTCGTTGGAAACGGGATAATTTCAGCTGACTAAACAGAAGCATTCTCAGAACCTTCTTCGTGATGTCTGCATTCAACTCACAGTGTGGAACCTTTCTTTGATAGTTCAGGTTTGAAACACTCTTTTTGTAGAAACTGCAAGGGGATCATTGCACTTCTTTGAGGCCTACCGTAGTAAAGGAAATAACTTCCTATAAAAAGAAGACAGACTCTCTGAGGATTGCATTCAACTCACAGTGCTGAACCTTTCTTTGATAGTGCAGCTTTGAAACACTCTTTTTGTAGAAACTGCAAGTGGATATTTGGTCCTCTCTGAGGATTTCGTTGGAAACGGGATAAACCGCACAGAACTAAAACAGAGCATTCTCAGAACCTTCTTCGTGATGTTTGCATTCAACTCACAGTGTTGAACCTTTCTTTGATAGTTCAGGTTGGAAACGGTCTTTCTGTAGAAACTGCAAGTAGATATTTGGACCTCTCTGAGGATTTCGTTGGAAACGGGATAAACCGCACAGAACTAAAACAGAAGCATTCACAGAAAACTCTTGGTGACGACTGAGTTTAACTCACAGAGCTGAACATTCCTTTGGATGGAGCAGTTTCGAAACACACTATTTGTAGAATCTGCAAGTGGATATTTGGGCCTCTCTGAGGATTTCGTTGGAAACGGGATAAAACGCACAGAACTAAAACAGAAGCATTCTCAGAAACTACTTTGTGATGATTGCATTCAAGTCACAGAGTTGAACATTCCCTTTGACAGAGCAGTTTGGAAACTCTCTTTGTGTAGAATCTGCAAGTGGAGATATGGACCGCTTTGAGGCCTATGGTAGTAAAGGAAATAGCTTCATATAAAAGCTAGACAGTAGCATTCTCAGAAACTTCTTTGTGATGCTTGCATTCAACTCACAGAGTTGAACTTTCCTTTCGAGAGAGAAGCTTTGAAACACTCTTTTTCCAGAATCTGCAAGTGGACATTTGGAGGGCTTTGAGGCCTGTGGTGGAAAAGGAATTATCTTCCCGTAAAAGCTAGATAGAAGCATAGTCAGAAGCTTCTTTGTGATGATTGCATTCAACTCACAGAGTTGAAGGTTCCTTTTCAAACAGCAGTTTCCAATCACTCTTTCTGTGGAATCTGCAAGTGTATATTTGGACCTATTTTGAAGATTTCGTTGGAAACGGGATAATCTTCACAGAAAAGCTAAACAGAAGCATTCTCAGAAACTTCTCTGTGATGTTTGTGTTCAACTCCCAGAGTTTCACATTGCTTTTCATAGAGTAGTTCTGAAACATGCCTTTCGTAGTGTCTGCAAGTGGACATTTGGAGAGATTTCAGGCCTGTGGTGGAAAACGAATTATGGTCACATAAAAACTGGAGAGAAGCCTTCTCAGAAACTTCTCTGTGATGATTGCATTCAACTCACAGAGTTGAACCCTCCTATGGATAGAGCAGTGTTGAAACTCTCTTTTTGTGGAATCTGCAAGTGGATATGTGGACCTCTCCGAAGATGTCTTTGGAAACGGGAATATCTTCACATAAAAACTAAACAGAAGCATTCTCAGAAACTTCTTGGTGATGTTTGCATTCAAATCCCAGAGTTGAACCTTCCTTTGATAGTTCAGGTTTGAAACACTCTTTCTGTAGGATCTGCAAGTGGCTATTTGGACCACTCTGTGGCCTTCGTTCGAAACGGGTATATCTTCGCATAAAATCTAGACAGAAGCATTCTCAGAAAATACTTTGTGATGATTGAGTTTAAATCACAGAGCTGACCATTCCTTTGGATGGAGCAGGTTTGAGACACACTTTTTGTAGAATCTACAAGTGGATATTTGGACCTCTCTGAGGATTTCGTTGGAAACGGGATAACTGCACCTAACTAAACGGAAGCATTCTCAGAAACTGCTTTGTGATGATTGCATTCACCTCACAGAGTTGAACATTCCTATTGATAGAGCAGTTTGGAAACACTCTTGTTGTGGAATGTGCAAGTGGAGATTTGGAGCGCTTTGAGGCCTGTGGTAGCAAAGGGAATAGCTTCATAGAAAAACTAGACAGATGCATTCTCAGGAACTTTTTGGTGATGTTTGTATTCAACTCCCAGAGTTGAACTTTCCTTTGGAAAGAGCAGCTATGAAACACTCTTTTTCTAGAATCTGCAAGTGGACGTTTGGAGGGCTTTGTGGTTTGTGGTGGAAAAGGAAATATCTTCACCTAAATACTAGATAGAAGCATTCTCAGAAGCTTCTCTGTGATGACTGCATTCAACTCACGGAGTTGAACACTCCTTTTGAGAGCGCAGTTTTGAAACTCTCTTTCTGTGGCATCTGCAAGGGGACATGTAGACCTCTTTGAAGATTTCGTTGGAAACGGAATCATCTTCACATAAAAACTATACAGAAGCAGTCTCAGAATCTTCTTTGTGATGTTTGCATTCAAATCCCAGAGTTGAACTTTCCTTTCAAAGTTCACGTTTGAAACACTCTTTTTGCAGGATCTACAAGTGGATATTTGGACCACTCTGTGTCCTTCGTTCGAAACGGGTATATCTTCACATGACATCTAGACAGAAGCTTTCTCAGAAAATTCTTTGGGATGATTGAGTGGAACTCACAGAGCTGAACATTCCTTGCGATGTAGCAGTTTAGAAACACACTTTCTGCAGAATCTGCAAGTGCATATTTGGACCTCTCTGAGGAATTCGTTGGAAACGGGATAATTTCAGCTGACTAAACAGAAGCATTCTCAGAACCTTCTTCGTGATGTCTGCATTCAACTCACAGTGTGGAACCTTTCTTTGATAGTTCAGGTTTGAAACACTCTTTTTGTAGAAACTGCAAGGGGATAATTGCACTTCTTTGAGGCCTACCGTAGTAAAGGAAATAACTTCCTATAGAAAGAAGACAGAAGAATTCTCAGAGCCCTCTTCGTGATGTTTGCATTCAACTCACAGTGCTGAACCTTTCTTTGATAGTGCAGCTTTGAAACACTCTTTTTGTAGAAACTGCAAGTGGATGTTTGGTCCTCCCTGAGGATTTCGTTGGAAACGGGATAAACCGCACAGAACTAAAACAGAAGCATTCTCAGAACCTTCTTCGTGATGTTTGCATTCAACTCACAGTGTTGAACCTTTCTTTGATAGTTCAGGTTGGAAACGGTCTTTCTGTAGAAACTGCAAGTAGATATTTGGACCTCTCTGAGGATTTCGTTGGAAACGGGATAAACCGCACAGAACTAAAACAGAAGCATTCACAGAAAACTCTTGGTGACGACTGAGTTTAACTCACAGAGCTGAACATTCCTTTGGATGGAGCAGTTTCGAAACACACTATTTGTAGAATCTGCAAGTGGATATTTGGGCCTCTCTGAGGATTTCGTTGGAAACGGGATAAACCGCACAGAACTAAAACAGAAGCATTCTCAGAAACTACTTTGTGATGATTGCATTCAAGTCACAGAGTTGAACATTCCCTTTCACAGAGCAGTTTGGAAACTCTCTTTGTGTAGAATCTGCAAGTGGAGATATGGACCGCTTTGAGGACTATGGTAGTAAAGGAAATAGCTTCATATAAAAGCTAGACAGTAGCATTCTCAGACTCTTCTTTGTGATGCTTGCATTCCACTCACAGAGTTGAAAATTCCTTTTGAGAGACAAGCTTTGAAACACTCTTTTTCCAGAATCTGCAAGTGGACATTTGGAGGGCTTTGAGGCCTGTGGTGGAAAAGGAATTATCTTCCCGTAAAAGCTAGATAGAAGCATTGTCAGAAACTTCCTTTGTGATGATTGCATTCAACACACAGAGTTGAAGGTTCCTTTTCAAAGAGCAGTTTCCAATCACTCTTTCTGTGGAATCTGAAAGTGGATATTTGGACCTCTTTGAAGATTTCGTTGGAAACGGGAGAATCTTCACAGAAAAGCTAAACAGAAGCATTCTCAGAAACTTCTCTGTGATGTTTGTGTTCAACTCCCAGAGTTTCACGTTGCTTTTCATAGAGTAGTTCTGAAACATGCTTTTCGTAGTGTCTGCAAGTGGACATTTGGAGCGCTTTCAGGCCTGTGGTGGAAAACGAATTATGGTCACATAAAAACTGGAGAGAAGCCTTCTCAGAAACTTCTCTGTGATGATTGCATTCAACTCACAGTGTTGAACCCTCCTATGGATAGAGCAGTGTTGAAACTCTCTTTTTGTGGAATCTGCAAGCAGATATGTGGACCTCTCCGAAGATGTCTTTGGAAGCGGGAATATCTTCACATAAAAACTAAACAGAAGCATTCTCAGAAACTTCTTGGTGATGTTTGCATTCAAATCCCAGAGTTGAACCTTCCTTTGATAGTTCAGGTTTGAAACACTCTTTCTGTAGGATCTGCAAGTGGCTATTTGGACCACTCTGTGGCCTTCGTTCGAAACGGGTATATCTTCGCATAAAATCTAGACAGAAGCATTCTCAGAAAATACTTTGTGATGATTGAGTTTAAATCACAGAGCTGACCATTCCTTTGGATGGAGCAGGTTTGAGACACACTTTTTGTAGAATCTACAAGTGGATATTTGGACCTCTCTGAGGATTTCGTTGGAAACGGGATAACTGCACCTAACTAAACGGAAGCATTCTCAGAAACTGCTTTGTGATGGTTGCATTCACCTCACAGAGTTGAACATTCCTATTGATAGAGCAGTTTGGAAACACTCTTGTTGTGGAATGTGCAAGTGGAGATTTGGAGCGCTTTGAGGCCTATGGTAGTAAAGGGAATAGCTTCATAGAAAAACTAGACAGATGCATTCTCAGGAACTTTTTGGTGATGTTTGTATTCAACTCCCAGAGTTGAACTTTCCTTTGGAAAGAGCAGCTATGAAACACTCTTTTTCTAGAATCTGCAAGTGGACGTTTGGAGGGCTTTGTGGTTTGTGGTGGAAAAGGAAATATCTTCACCTAAATACTAGATAGAAGCATTCTCAGAAGCTTCTCTGTGATGACTGCATTCAACTCAAGGAGTTGAACACTCCTTTTGAGAGCGCAGTTTTGAAACTCTCTTTCTGTGGCATCTGCAAGGGGACATGTAGACCTCTTTGAAGATTTCGTTGGAAACGGAATCATCTTCACATAAAAACTATACAGAAGCATTCTCAGAAACTTCTTGGTGATGTTTCCATTCAAATCCCAGAGTTGAACCTTCCTTTGATAGTTCAGGATTGAAACACTCTTTTTGTAGGATCTACAAGTGGATATTTGGACCACTCTGTGTCCTTCTTTCGAAACGGGTATATGTTCACATGACATCTAGACAGAAGCATTCTCAGAAAATACTTTGTGATGATTGAGTTTAACTCACAGAGCTGAACATTCCTTTGGATGGAGCAGGTTTGATACACACTTTTTGTAGTATCTACAAGTGGATATTTGGACCTCTCTGAGGATTTCGTTGGAAACGGGATAACTGCACCTAACTAAACGGAAGCATTCTCAGAAACTGCTTTGTGATGATTGCATTCACCTCACAGAGTTGAACATTCCTATTGATAGAGCAGTTTGGAAACACTCTTGTTGTGGAATGTGCAAGTGGAGATTTGGAGCGCTTTGAGGCCTGTGGTAGTAAAGGGAATAGCTTCATAGAAAAACTAGACAGATGCATTCTCAGGAACCTTTTGGTGATGTTTGTATTCAACTCCCAGAGTTGAACTTTCCTTTGGAAAGAGCAGCTATGAAACACTCTTTTTCTAGAATCTGCAAGTGGACGTTTGGAGGGCTTTGTGGTTTGTGGTGGAAAAGGAAATATCTTCACCTAAATACTAGATAGAAGCATTCTCAGAAGCTTCTCTGTGATGACTGCATTCAACTCACGGAGTTGAACACTCCTTTTGAGAGCGCAGTTTTGAAACTCACTTTCTGTGGCATCTGCAAGGGGACATGTAGACCTCTTTGAAGATTTCGTTGGAAACGGAATCATCTTCACATAAAAACTATACAGAAGCAGTCTCAGAATCTTCTTTGTGATGTTTGCATTCAAATCCCAGAGTTGAACTTTCCTTTCAAAGTTCACGTTTGAAACACTCTTTTTGCAGGATCTACAAGTGGATATTTGGACCACTCTGTGTCCTTCGTTCGAAACGGGTATATCTTCACATGACATCTAGACAGAAGCTTTCTCAGAAAATTCTTTGGAATGATTGAGTTGAACTCACAGAGCTGAACATTCCTTGCGATGTAGCAGTTTAGAAACACACTTTCTGCAGAAGCTGCAAGTGCATATTTGGACCTCTCTGAGGAATTCGTTGGAAACGGGATAATTTCAGCTGACTAAACAGAAGCATTCTCAGAACCTTCTTCGTGATGTCTGCATTCAACTCACAGTGTGGAACCTTTCTTTGATAGTTCAGGTTTGAAACACTCTTTTTGTAGAAACTGCAAGGGGATAATTGCACTTCTTTGAGGCCTACCGTAGTAAAGGAAATAACTTCCTATAGAAAGAAGACAGAAGCATTCTCAGAACCCTCTTCGTGATGTTTGCATTCAACTCACAGTGCTGAACCTTTCTTTGATAGTTCAGCTTTGAAACACTCTTCTTGTAGAAACTGCAAGTGGATATTTGGTCCTCTCTGAGGATTTCGTTGGAAACGGGATAAACCGCACAGAACTAAACAGAAGCATTCTCAGAACCTTCTTCGTGATGTTTGCATTCAACTCACAGTGTTGAACCTTTCTTTGATAGTTCAGGTTTGAAACGGTCTTTCTGTAGAAACTGCAAGTAGATATTTGGACCTCTCTGAGGATTTCGTTGGAAACGGGATAACCCGCACAGAACTAAAACAGAAGCATTCACAGAAAACTCTTGGTGACGACTGAGTTTAACTCACAGAGCTGAACATTCCTTTGGATGGAGCAGTTTCGAAACACACTATTTGTAGAATGTGCAAGTGGATATGTGGGCCTCTCTGAGGATTTCGTTGGAAACGGGATAAACCGCACAGAACTAAACAGAAGCATTCTCAGAAACTACTTTGTGATGATTGCATTCAAGTCACAGAGTTGAACATTCCCTTTGACAGAGCAGTTTGGAAACTGTCTTTGTGTAGAATCTGCAAGTGGAGATATGGACCGCTTTGAGGCCTATGGTAGTAAAGGAAATAGCTTCATATAAAAGCTAGACAGTAGCATTCTCAGAAACTTCTTTGTGATGCTTGCATTCAACTCACAGAGTTGAACTTTCCTTTCGAGAGAGAAGCTTTGAAACACTCTTTTTCCAGAATCTGCAAGTGGACATTTGGAGGGCTTTGAGGCCTGTGGTGGAAAAGGAATTATCTTCCCGTAAAAGCTGGATAGAAGCATTGTCAGAAACTTCTTTGTGATGATTGCATTCAACTCACAGAGTTGAAGGTTCCTTTTCAAACAGCAGTTTCCAATCACTCTTTCTGTGGAATCTGCAAGTGGATATTTGGGCCTCTCTGAGGATTTCGTTGGAAACGGGATAAAACGCACAGAACTAAAACAGAAGCATTCTCAGAAACTTCTCTGTGATGTTTGTGTTCAACTCCCAGAGTTTCACGTTGCTTTTCATAGAGTAGTTCTGAAACATGCTTTTCGTAGTGTCTGCAAGTGGACATTTGGAGCGCTTTCAGGCCTGTGGTGGAAAACGAATTATGGTCACATAAAAACTGGAGAGAAGCCTTCTCAGAAACTTCTCTGTGATGATTGCATTCAACTCACAGAGTTGAACCCTCCTATGGATAGAGCAGTGTTGAAACTCTCTTTTTGTGGAATCTGCAAGTGGATATGTGGACCTCTCCGAAGATGTCTTTGGAAACGGGAATATCTTCACATAAAAACTAAACAGAAGCATTCTCAGAAACTTCTTGGTGATGTTTGCATTCAAATCCCAGAGTTGAACCTTCCTTTGATAGTTCAGGTTTGAAACACTCTTTCTGTAGGATCTGCAAGTGGCTATTTGGACCACTCTGTGGCCTTCGTTCGAAACGGGTATATCTTCGCATAAAATCTAGACAGAAGCATTCTCAGAAAATACTTTGTGATGATTGAGTTTAAATCACAGAGCTGAACATTCCTTTGGATGGAGCAGGTTTGAGACACACTTTTTGTAGAATCTACAAGTGGATATTTGGACCTCTCTGAGGATTTCGTTGGAAACGGGATAACTGCACCTAACTAAACGGAAGCATTCTCAGAAACTGCTTTGTGATGATTGCATTCACCTCACAGAGTTGAACATTCCTATTGATAGAGCAGTTTGGAATCACTCTTGTTGTGGAATGTGCAAGTGGAGATTTGGAGCGCTTTGAGGCCTATGGTAGTAAAGGGAATAGCTTCATAGAAAAACTAGACAGATGCATTCTCAGGAACTTTTTGGTGATGTTTGTATTCAACTCCCAGAGTTGAACTTTCCTTTGGAAAGAGCAGCTATGAAACACTCTTTTTCTAGAATCTGCAAGTGGACGTTTGGAGGGCTTTGTGGTTTGTGGTGGAAAAGGAAATATCTTCACCTAAATACTAGAGAGAAGCATTCTCAGAAGCTTCTCTGTGATGACTGCATTCAACTCACGGAGTTGAACACTCCTTTTGAGAGCGCAGTTTTGAAACTCTCTTTCTGTGGCATCTGCAAGGGGACATGTAGACCTCTTTGAAGATTTCGTTGGAAACGGAATCATCTTCACATAAAAACTATACAGAAACAGTCTCAGAATCTTCTTTGTGATGTTTGCATTCAAATCCCAGAGTTGAACTTTCCTTTCAAAGTTCACGTTTGAAACACTCTTTTTGCAGGATCTACAAGTGGATATTTGGACCACTACTGTGTCCTTCGTTCGAAACGGGTATATCTTCACATGACATCTAGACAGAAGCTTTCTCAGAAAATTCTTTGGGATGATTGAGTGGAACTCACAGAGCTGAACATTCCTTGCGATGTAGCAGTTTAGAAACACACTTTCTGCAGAATCTGCAAGTGCATATTTGGACCTCTCTGAGGAATTCGTTGGAAACGGGATAATTTCAGCTGACTAAACAGAAGCATTCTCAGAACCTTCTTCGTGATGTCTGCATTCAACTCACAGTGTGGAACCTTTCTTTGATAGTTCAGGTTTGAAACACTCTTTTTGTAGAAACTGCAAGGGGATCATTGCACTCTTTGAGGAGTACCGTAGTAAAGGAAATAACTTCCTATAAAAAGAAGACAGAAGAATTCTCAGAGCCCTCTTCGTGGTGTTTGCATTCAACTCACAGTGCTGAACCTTTCTTTGATAGTGCAGCTTTGAAACACTCTTTTTGTAGAAACTGCAAGTGGATATTTGGTCCTCTCTGAGGATTTCGTTGGAAACGGGATAAACCGCACAGAACTAAAACAGAAGCATTCTCAGAACCTTCTTCGTGATGTTTGCATTCAACTCACAGTGTTGAACCTTTCTTTGATAGTTCAGGTTTGAAACGGTCTTTCTGTAGAAACTGCAAGTAGATATTTGGACCTCTCTGAGGATTTCGTTGGAAACGGGATAACCCGCACAGAACTAAAACAGAAGCATTCAGAGAAAACTCTTGGTGACGACTGAGTTTAACTCACAGAGCTGAACATTCCTTTGGATGGAGCAGTTTCGAAACACACTATTTGTAGAATGTGCAAGTGGATATGTGGGCCTCTCTGAGGATTTCGTTGGAAACGGGATAAACCGCACAGAACTAAACGGAAGCATTCTCAGAAACTACTTTGTGATGATTGCATTCAAGTCACAGAGTTGAACATTCCCTTTGACAGAGCAGTTTGGAAACTCTCTTTGTGTAGAATCTGCAAGTGGAGATATGGACCGCTTTGAGGCCTATGGTAGTAAAGGAAATAGCTTCATATAAAAGCTAGACAGTAGCATTCTCAGAAACTTCTTTGTGATGCTTGCATTCAACTCACAGAGTTGAACTTTCCTTTCGAGAGAGAAGCTTTGAAACACTCTTTTTCCAGAATGTGCAAGTGGACATTTGGGGAGCTTTGAGGCCTGTGGTGGAAAAGGAATTATCTTCCCGTAAAAGCTAGATAGAAGCATTGTCAGAAACTTCTTTGTGATGATTGCATTCAACTCACAGAGTTGAAGGTTCCTTTTCAAACAGCAGTTTCCAATCACTCTTTCTGTGGAATCTGCAAGTGGATATTTGGGCCTCTCTGAGGATTTCGTTGGAAACGGGATAAAACGCACAGAACTAAAACAGAAGCATTCTCAGAAACTTCTCTGTGATGTTTGTGTTCAACTCCCAGAGTTTCACGTTGCTTTTCATAGAGTAGTTCTGAAACATGCTTTTCGTAGTGTCTGCAAGTGGACATTTGGAGCGCTTTCAGGCCTGTGGTGGAAAACGAATTATGGTCACATAAAAACTGGAGAGAAGCCTTCTCAGAAACTTCTCTGTGATGATTGCATTCAACTCACAGAGTTGAACCCTCCTATGGATAGAGCAGTGTTGAAACTCTCTTTTTGTGGAATCTGCAAGTGGATATGTGGACCTCTCCGAAGATGTCTTTGGAAACGGGAATATCTTCACATAAAAACTAAACAGAAGCATTCTCAGAAACTTCTTGGTGATGTTTGCATTCAAATCCCAGAGTTGAACCTTCCTTTGATAGTTCAGGTTTGAAACACTCTTTCTGTAGGATCTGCAAGTGGCTATTTGGACCACTCTGTGGCCTTCGTTCGAAACGGGTATATCTTCGCATAAAATCTAGACAGAAGCATTCTCAGAAAATACTTTGTGATGATTGAGTTGAACTCACAGAGCTGAACATTCCTTTGGATGGAGCAGGTTTGAGACACACTTTTTGTAGAATCTACAAGTGGATATTTGGACCTCTACTGAGGATTTCATTGGAAACGGGATAACTGCACCTAACTAAACGGAAGCATTCTCAGAAACTGCTTTGTGATGATTGCATTCACCTCACAGAGTTGAACATTCCTATTGATAGAGCAGTTTGGAAACACTCTTGTTGTGGAATGTGCAAGTGGAGATTTGGAGCGCTTTGAGGCCTATGGTAGTAAAGGGAATAGCTTCATAGAAAAACTAGACAGATGCATTCTCAGGAACTTTTTGGTGATGTTTGTATTCAACTCCCAGAGTTGAACTTTCCTTTGGAAAGAGCAGCTATGAAACACTCTTTTTCTAGAATCTGCAAGTGGACGTTTGGAGGGCTTTGTGGTTTGTGGTGGAAAAGGAAATATCTTCACCTAAATACTAGATAGAAGCATCCTCAGAAGCTTCTCTGTGATGACTGCATTCAACTCACGGAGTTGAACACTCCTTTTGAGAGCGCAGTTTTGAAACTCTCTTTCTGTGGCATCTGCAAGGGGACATGTAGACCTCTTTGAAGATTTCGTTGGAAACGGAATCATCTTCACATAAAAACTACACAGAAGCAGTCTCAGAATCTTCTTTGTGATGTTTGCATTCAAATCCCAGAGTTGAACTTTCCTTTCAAAGTTCACGTTTGAAACACTCTTTTTGCAGGATCTACAAGTGGATATTTGGACCACTCTGTGTCCTTCGTTCGAAACGGGTATATCTTCACACGACATCTAGACAGAAGCTTTCTCAGAAAATTCTTTGGGATGATTGAGTGGAACTCACAGAGCTGAACATTCCTTGCGATGTAGCAGTTTAGAAACACACTTTCTGCAGAATCTGCAAGTGCATATTTGGACCTCTCTGAGGAATTCGTTGGAAACGGGATAATTTCAGCTGACTAAACAGAAGCATTCTCAGAACCTCCTTCGTGATGTCTGCATTCAACTCACAGTGTGGAACCTTTCTTTGATAGTTCAGGTTTGAAACACTCTTTTTGTAGAAACTGCAAGGGGATAATTGCACTTCTTTGAGGCCTACCGTAGTAAAGGAAATAACTTCCTATAGAAAGAAGACAGAAGCATTCTCAGAACCCTCTTCGTGATGTTTGCATTCAACTCACAGTGCTGAACCTTTCTTTGATAGTTCAGCTTTGAAACACTCTTCTTGTAGAAACTGCAAGTGGATATTTGGTCCTCTCTGAGGATTTCGTTGGAAACGGGATAAACCGCACAGAACTAAACAGAAGAATTCTCAGAGCCCTCTTCGTGATGTTTGCATTCAACTCACAGTGCTGAACCTTTCTTTGATAGTGCAGCTTTGAAACACTCTTTTTGTAGAAACTGCAAGTGGATGTTTGGTCCTCTCTGAGGATTTCGTTGGAAACGGGATAAACCGCACAGAACTAAAACAGAAGCATTCTCAGAACCTTCTTCGTGATGTTTGCATTCAACTCACAGTGTTGAACCTTCCTTTGATAGTTCAGGTTTGAAACGGTCTTTCTGTAGAAACTGCAAGTAGATATTTGGACCTCTCTGAGGATTTCGTTGGAAACGGGATAAACCGCACAGAACTAAAACAGAAGCATTCACAGAAAACTCTTGGTGACGACTGAGTTTAACTCACAGAGCTGAACATTCCTTTGGATGGAGCAGTTTCGAAACACACTATTTGTAGAATGTGCAAGTGGATATTTGGGCCTCTCTGAGGATTTCGTTGGAAACGGGATAAACCGCACAGAACTAAACAGAAGCATTCTGAGAAACTACTTTGTGATGATTGCATTCAAGTCACAGAGCTGAACATTCCCTTTGACAGAGCAGTTTGGAAACTCTCTTTGTGTAGAATCTGCAAGTGGAGATATGGAATGCTTTGAGGACAATGGTAGTAAAGGAAATAGCTTCATAGACAAGCTAGACAGTAGCATTCTCAGAAACTTCTTTGTGATGCTTGCATTCAACTCACAGAGTTGAACTTTCCTTTCGAGAGAGAAGCTTTGAAACACTCTTTTTCCAGAATCTGCAAGTGGACATTTGGAGGGCTTTGAGGCCTGTGGTGGAAAAGGAATTATCTTCCCGTAAAAGCTGGATAGAAGCATTGTCAGAAACTTCTTTGTGATGATTGCATTCAACTCACAGAGTTGAAGGTTCCTTTTCAAACAGCAGTTTCCAAACACTCTTTCTGTGGAATCTGCAAGTGGATGTTTGGGCCTCTTTGAAGATTTCGTTGGAAACGGGAGAATCTTCACAGAAAAGCTAAACAGAAGCATTCTCAGAAACTTCTCTGTGATGTTTGTGTTCAACTCCCAGAGTTTCACATTGCTTTTCATAGAGTAGTTCTGAAAGATGCTTTTCGTAGTCTCTACAATTGGGCATTTGGAGCGCTTTCAGGCCTGTGGTGGAAAAGAATTATGGTCACATAAAAACTGGAGAGAAGCCTTCTCAGAAACTTCTCTGTGATGATTGCATTCAACTCACAGAGTTGAACCCTCCTATGGATAGAGCAGTGTTGAAACTCTCTTTTTGTGGAATCTGCAAGTGGATATGTGGACCTCTCCGAAGATGTCTTTGGAAACTGGAATATCTTCACATAAAAACTAAACAGAAGCATTCTCAGAAACTTCTTGGTGATGTTTGCATTCAAATCCCAGAGTTGAACCTTCCTTTGAGAGTTCAGGTTTGAAACACTCTTTTTGTAGGATCTGCAAGTGGATATTTGGACCACTCTGTGGCCTTCGTTCGAAACGGGTACATCTTCGCATAAAATCTAGACAGAAGCATTCTCAGAAAATACTTTGTGATGATTGAGTTTAACTCACAGAGCTGAACATTCCTTTGGATGGAGCAGGTTTGAGACACACTTTTTGTAGAATCTACAAGTGGATATTTGGACCTCTCTGAGGATTTCGTTGGAAACGGGATAACTGCACCTAACTAAACGGGAAGCATTCTCAGAAACTACTTTGTGATGATTGCATTCACCTCACAGAGTTGAACATTCCTATTGAGAGAGCAGTTTGGAAACACTCTTGTTGGAGAATCTGCAAGTGGAGATTTGGAGCGCTTTGAGGCCTATGGTAGTAAAGGGAATATCTTCATATAAAAACTAGACAGATGCATTCTCAGGAACTTTTTGGTGATGTTTGTATTCAACTCCCAGAGTTGAACTTTCCTTTGGAAAGAGCAGCTATGAAACACTCTTTTTCTAGAATCTGCAAGTGGACGTTTGGAGGGCTTTGTGGTTTGTGGTGGAAAAGGAAATATCTTCACCTAAATACTAGATAGAAGCATTCTCAGAAGCTTCTCTGTGATGACTGCATTCAACTCACGGAGTTGAACACTCCTTTTGAGAGCGCAGTTTTGAAACTCTCTTTCTGTGGCATCTGCAAGGGGACATGTAGACCTCTTTGAAGATTTCATTGGAAACGGAATCATCTTCACATCAAAACTATACAGAAGCAGTCTCAGAATCTTCTTTGTGATGTTTGCATTCAAATCCCAGAGTTGAACTTTTCTTTCCAAGTTCACGTTTGAAACACTCTTTTTGCAGGATCTACAAGTGGATATTTGGACCACTCTGTGTCCTTCGTTCGAAACGGGTATATCTTCACATGAAATCTAGACAGAAGCTTTCTCAGAAAATTCTTTGGGATGATTGAGTTGAGCAAACAGAGCTGAACACTCCTTGTGATGTAGCAGTTTAGAAACACACTTTCTGCAGAATCTGCAAGTGCATATGTGGACCTCTCTGAGGAATTCGTTGGAAACGGGATAATTTCAGCTGACTAAACAGAAGCATTCTCAGAACCTTCTTCGTGATGTCTGCATTCAACTCACAGTGTGGAACCTTTCTTTGATAGTTCAGGTTTGAAACACTCTTTTTGTAGAAACTGCAAGGGGATAATTGCACTTCTTTGAGGCCTACCGTAGTAAAGGAAATAACTTCCTATAGAAAGAAGACAGAAGCATTCTCAGAACCCTCTTCGTGATGTTTGCATTCAACTCACAGTGCTGAACCTTTCTTTGATAGTTCAGCTTTGAAACACTCTTCTTGTAGAAACTGCAAGTGGATATTTGGTCCTCTCTGAGGATTTCGTTGGAAACGGGATAAACCGCACAGAACTAAACAGAAGCATTCTCAGAACCTTCTTCGTGATGTTTGCATTCAACTCACAGTGTTGAACCTTTCTTTGATAGTTCAGGTTGGAAACGGTCTTTCTGTAGAAACTGCAAGTAGATATTTGGACCTCTCTGAGGATTTCGTTGGAAACGGGATAAACCGCACAGAACTAAAACAGAAGCATTCACAGAAAACTCTTGGTGACGACTGAGTTTAACTCACAGAGCTGAACATTCCTTTGGATGGAGCAGTTTCGAAACACACTATTTGTAGAATCTGCAAGTGGATATTTGGGCCTCTCTGAGGATTTCGTTGGAAACGGGATAAAACGCACAGAACTAAAACAGAAGCATTCTGAGAAACTACTTTGTGATGATTGCATTCAAGTCACAGAGCTGAACATTCCCTTTGACAGAGCAGTTTGGAAACTCTCTTTGTGTAGAATCTGCAAGTGGAGATATGGAATGCTTTGAGGACTATGGTAGTAAAGGAAATAGCTTCATAGACAAGCTAGACAGTAGCATTCTCAGAAACTTCTTTGTGATGCTTGCATTCAACTCACAGAGTTGAACTTTCCTTTCGAGAGAGAAGCTTTGAAACACTCTTTTTCCAGAATCTGCAAGTGGACATTTGGAGGGCTTTGAGGCCTGTGGTGGAAAAGGAATTATCTTCCCGTAAAAGCTAGATAGAAGCATTGTCAGAAACTTCTTTGTGATGATTGCATTCAACTCACAGAGTTGAAGGTTCCTTTTCAAAGAGCAGTTTCCAATCACTCTTTCTGTGGAATCTGCAAGTGGATATTTCGACCTATTTTGAAGATTTCGTTGGAAACGGGATAATCTTCACAGAAAAGCTAAACAGAAGCATTCTCAGAAACTTCTCTGTGATGTTTGTGTTCAACTCCCAGAGTTTCACATTGCTTTTCATAGAGTAGTTCTGAAACATGCTTTTCGTAGTGTCTACAAGTGGACATTTGGAGCGCTTCCAGGCCTGTGGTGGAAAACGAATTATGGTCACATAAAAACTGGAGAGAAGCCTTCTCAGAAACTTCTCTGTGATGATTGCATTCAACTCACAGAGTTGAACCCTCCTATGGATAGAGCAGTGTTGAAACTCTCTTTTTGTGGAACCTGCAAGTGGATATGTGGACCTCTCCGAAGATGTCTTTGGAAACGGGAATATCTTCACATAAAAACTAAACAGAAGCATTCTCAGAAACTTCTTGGTGATGTTTGCATTCAAATCCCAGAGTTGAACCTTCCTTTGACAGTTCAGGTTTGAAACACTCTTTTTGTAGGATCTGCAAGTGGATATTTGGACCACTCTGTGGCCTTCGTTCGAAACGGGTACATCTTCACATAAAATCTAGACAGAAGCATTCTCAGAAAATACTTTGTGATGATTGAGTTGAACTCACAGAGCTGAACATTCCTTTGGATGGAGCAGGTTTGAGACACACTTTTTGTAGAATCTACAAGTGGATATTTGGACCTCTCTGAGGATTTCGTTGGAAACGGCATAACTGCACCTAACTAAACGGAAGCATTCTCAGAAACTGCTTTGTGATGATTGCATTCACCTCACAGAGTTGACCATTCCTATTGATACAGCAGTTTGGAAACCCTCTTGTTGTGGAATGTGCAAGTGCAGATTTGGAGCGCTTTGAGGCCTATGGTAGTAAAGGGAATAGCTTCATAGAAAAACTAGACAGATGCATTCTCGGGAACTTTTTGGTGATGTTTGTATTCAACTCCCAGAGTTGAACTTTCCTTTGGAAAGAGCAGCTATGAAACACTCTTTTTCTAGAATCTGCAAGTGGACGTTTGGAGGGCTTTGTGGTTTGTGGTGGAAAAGGAAATATCTTCACCTCAATACTAGATAGAAGCATTCTCAGAAGCTTCTCTGTGATGACTGCATTCAACTCACGGAGTTGAACACTCCTTTTGAGAGCGCAGTTTTGAAACTCTGTTTCTGTGGCATCTGCAAGGGGACATGTAGACCTCTTTGAAGATTTCGTTGGAAACGGAATCATCTTCACATCAAAACTATACAGAAGCAGTCTCAGAATCTTCTTTGTGATGTTTGCATTCAAATCCCAGAGTTGAACTTTCCTTTCAAAGTTCACGTTTGAAACACTCTTTTTGCAGGATCTACAAGTGGATATTTGGACCACTCTGTGTCCTTCGTTCGAAAAGGGTATATCTTCACATGAAATCTAGACAGAAGCTTTCTCAGAAAATTCTTTGGGATGATTGAGTTGAACTCACAGAGCTGAACATTCCTTGCGATGGAGCAGTTTAGAAACACACTTTCTGCAGAATCTGCAAGTGCATATTTGGACCTCTCTGAGGAATTCGTTGGAAACGGGATAATTTCAGCTGACTAAACAGAAGCATTCTCAGAACCTTCTTCGTGATGTCTGCATTCAACTCACAGTGTGGAACCTTTCTTTGATAGTTCAGGTTTGAAACACTCTTTTTGTAGAAACTGCAAGGGGATAATTGCACTTCTTTGAGGCCTACCGTAGTAAAGGAAATAACTTCCTATAGAAAGAAGACAGAAGCATTCTCAGAACCCTCTTCGTGATGTTTGCATTCAACTCACAGTGCTGAACCTTTCTTTGATAGTTCAGCTTTGAAACACTCTTTTTGTAAAAACTGCAAGTGAATATTTGGTCCTCTCTGAGGATTTCGTTGGAAACGGGATAAAACGCACAGAACTAAACAGAAGCATTCTCAGAACCTTCTTCGTGATGTTTGCATTCAACTCACAGTGTTGAACCTTTCTTTGATAGTTCAGGTTTGAAACGGTCTTTCTGTAGAAACTGCAAGTAGATATTTGGACCTCTCTGAGGATTTCGTTGGAAACGGGATAAACCGCACAGAACTAAAACAGAAGCATTCACAGAAAACTCTTGGTGACGACTGAGTTTAACTCACAGAGCTGAACATTCCTTTGGATGGAGCAGTTTCGAAACACACTATTTGTAGAATGTGCAAGTGGATATTTGGGCCTCTCTGAGGATTTCGCTGGAAACGGGATAAACCGCACAGAACTAAACAGAAGCATTCTCAGAAACTACTTTGTGATGATTGCATTCAAGTCACAGAGTTGAACATTCCCTTTGACAGAGCAGTTTGGAAACTCTCTTTGTGTAGAATCTGCAAGTGGAGATATGGACCGCTTTGAGGCCTATGGTAGTAAAGGAAATAGCTTCATATAAAAGCTAGACAGTAGCATTCTCAGAAACTTCTTTGTGATGCTTGCATTCAACTCACAGAGTTGAACTTTCCTTTCGAGAGAGAAGCTTTGAAACACTCTTTTTCCAGAATCTGCAAGTGGACATTTGGAGGGCTTTGAGGCCTGTGGTGGAAAAGGAATTATCTTCCCGTAAAAGCTAGATAGAAGCATTGTCAGAAACTTCTTTGTGATGATTGCATTCAACTCACAGAGTTGAAGGTTCCTTTTCAAACAGCAGTTTCCAATCACTCTTCCTGTGGAATCTGCAAGTGGATATTTGGACCTCTTTGAAGATTTCGTTGGAAACGGGAGAATCTTCACAGAAAAGCTAAACAGAAGCATCCTCAGAAACTTCTCTGTGATGTTTGTGTTCAACTCCCAGAGTTTCACATTGCTTTTCATAGAGTAGTTCTGAAACATGCTTTTCGTAGTGTCTGCAAGTGGACATTTGGAGCGCTTTCAGGCCTGTGGTGGAAAACGAATTATGGTCCCATAAAAACTGGAGGGAAGCCTTCTCAGAAACTTCTCTGTGATGATTGCATTCAACTCACAGATTTGAACCCTCCTATGGATAGAGCATTGTTGAAACTCTCTTTTTGTGGAATCTGCAAGTGGATATGTGGACCTCTCCGAAGATGTCTTTGGAAACGGGAATATCTTCGCATAAAAACTAAACAGAAGCATTCTCAGAAACTTCTTGGTGATGTTTGCATTCAAATCCCAGAGTTGAACCTTCCTGTGATAGTTCAGGTTTGAAACACTCTTTTTGTAGGATCTGCAAGTGGATATTTGGACCACTCTGTGGCCTTCGTTCGAAACGGGTACATCTTCACATAAAATCTAGACAGAAGCATTCTCAGAAAATACTTTGTGATGATTGAGTTTAACTCACAGAGCTGAACATTCCTTTGGATGGAGCAGGTTTGAGACACACTTTTTGTAGAATCTACAAGTGGATATTTGGACCTCTCTGAGGATTTCGTTGGAAACGCGATAACTGCACCTAACTAAACGGAAGCATTCTCAGAAACTGCTTTGTGATGATTGCATTCACCTCACAGAGTTGAACATTCCTATTGATAGAGCAGTTTGGAAACACTCTTGTTGTGGAATGTGCAAGTGGAGATTTGGAGCGCTTTGAGGCCTATGGTAGTAAAGGGAATAGCATCATAGAAAAACTAGACAGATGCATTCTCAGGAACTTTTTGGTGATGTTTGTATTCAACTCCCAGAGTTGAACTTTCCTTTGGAAAGAGCAGCTATGAAACACTCTTTTTCTAGAATCTGCAAGTGGACGTTTGGAGGGCTTTGTGGTTTGTGGTGGAAAAGGAAATATCTTCACCTAAATACTAGATAGAAGCATCCTCAGAAGCTTCTCTGTGATGACTGCATTCAACTCACGGAGTTGAACACTCCTTTTGAGAGCGCAGTTTTGAAACTCTCTTTCTGTGGCATCTGCAAGGGGACATGTAGACCTCTTTGAAGATTTCGTTGGAAACGGAATCATCTTCACATAAAAACTACACAGAAGCAGTCTCAGAATCTTCTTTGTGATGTTTGCATTCAAATCCCAGAGTTGAACTTTCCTTTCAAAGTTCACGTTTGAAACACTCTTTTTGCAGGATCTACAAGTGGATATTTGGACCACTCTGTGTCCTTCGTTCGAAACGGGTATATCTTCACACGACATCTAGACAGAAGCTTTCTCAGAAAATTCTTTGGGATGATTGAGTGGAACTCACAGAGCTGAACATTCCTTGCGATGTAGCAGTTTAGAAACACACTTTCTGCAGAATCTGCAAGTGCATATTTGGACCTCTCTGAGGAATTCGTTGGAAACGGGATAATTTCAGCTGACTAAACAGAAGCATTCTCAGAACCTTCTTCGTGATGTCTGCATTCAACTCACAGTGTGGAACCTTTCTTTGATAGTTCAGGTTTGAAACACTCTTTTTGTGGAAACTGCAAGGGGATAATTGCACTTCTTTGAGGCCTACCGTAGTAAAGGAAATAACTTCCTATAAAAAGAAGACAGAAGCATTCTCAGAACCCTCTTCGTGATGTTTGCATTCAACTCACAGTGCTGAACCTTTCTTTGATAGTTCAGCTTTGAAACACTCTTCTTGTAGAAACTGCAAGTGGATATTTGGTCCTCTCTGAGGATTTCGTTGGAAACGGGATAAACCGCACAGAACTAAACAGAAGCATTCTCAGAACCTTCTTCGTGATGTTTGCATTCAACTCACAGTGTTGAACCTTTCTTTGATAGTTCAGGTTTGAAACGGTCTTTCTGTAGAAACTGGAAGTAGATATTTGGACCTCTCTGAGGATTTCGTTGGAAACGGGATAAACCGCACAGAACTAAAACAGAAGCATTCACAGAAAACTCTTGGTGACGACTGAGTTTAACTCACAGAGCTGAACATTCCTTTGGATGGAGCAGTTTCGAAACACACTATTTGTAGAATGTGCAAGTGGATATGTGGGCCTCTCTGAGGATTTCGTTGGAAACGGGATAAACCGCACAGAACTAAACAGAAGCATTCTCAGAAACTACTTTGTGATGATTGCATTCAAGTCACAGAGTTGAACATTCCCTTTGACAGAGCAGTTTGGAAACTCTCTTTGTGTAGAATCTGCAAGTGGAGATATGGACCGCTTTGAGGCCTATGGTAGTAAAGGAAATAGCTTCATATAAAAGCTAGACAGTAGCATTCTCAGAAACTTCTTTGTGATGCTTGCATTCAACTCACAGAGTTGAACTTTCCTTTCGAGAGAGAAGCTTTGAAACACTCTTTTTCCAGAATCTGCAAGTGGACATTTGGAGGGCTTTGAGGCCTGTGGTGGAAAAGGAATTATCTTCCCGTAAAAGCTAGATAGAAGCATTGTCAGAAACTTCTTTGTGATGATTGCATTCAACTCACAGAGTTGAAGGTTCCTTTTCAAACAGCAGTTTCCAATCACTCTTTCTGTGGAATCTGCAAGTGGATATTTGGGCCTCTCTGAGGATTTCGTTGGAAACGGGATAAAACGCACAGAACTAAAACAGAAGCATTCTCAGAAACTTCTCTGTGATGTTTGTGTTCAACTCCCAGAGTTTCACGTTGCTTTTCATAGAGTAGTTCTGAAACATGCTTTTCGTAGTGTCTGCAAGTGGACATTTGGAGCGCTTTCAGGCCTGTGGTGGAAAACGAATTATGGTCACATAAAAACTGGAGAGAAGCCTTCTCAGAAACTTCTCTGTGATGATTGCATTCAACTCACAGAGTTGAACCCTCCTATGGATAGAGCAGTGTTGAAACTCTCTTTTTGTGGAATCTGCAAGTGGATATGTGGACCTCTCCGAAGATGTCTTTGGAAACGGGAATATCTTCACATAAAAACTAAACAGAAGCATTCTCAGAAACTTCTTGGTGATGTTTGCATTCAAATCCCAGAGTTGAACCTTCCTTTGATAGTTCAGGTTTGAAACACTCTTTCTGTAGGATCTGCAAGTGGCTATTTGGACCACTCTGTGGCCTTCGTTCGAAACGGGTATATCTTCGCATAAAATCTAGACAGAAGCATTCTCAGAAAATACTTTGTGATGATTGAGTTTAAATCACAGAGCTGACCATTCCTTTGGATGGAGCAGGTTTGAGACACACTTTTTGTAGAATCTACAAGTGGATATTTGGACCTCTCTGAGGATTTCGTTGGAAACGGGATAACTGCACCTAACTAAACGGAAGCATTCTCAGAAACTGCTTTGTGATGATTGCATTCACCTCACAGAGTTGAACATTCCTATTGATAGAGCAGTTTGGAAACACTCTTGTTGTGGAATGTGCAAGTGGAGATTTGGAGCGCTTTGAGGCCTATGGTAGTAAAGGGAATAGCTTCATAGAAAAACTAGACAGGATGCATTCTCAGGAACTTTTTGGTGATGTTTGTATTCAACTCCCAGAGTTGAACTTTCCTTTGGAAAGAGCAGCTATGAAACACTCTTTTTCTAGAATCTGCAAGTGGACGTTTGGAGGGCTTTGTGGTTTGTGGTGGAAAAGGAAATATCTTCACCTAAATACTAGATAGAAGCATCCTCAGAAGCTTCTCTGTGATGACTGCATTCAACTCACGGAGTTGAACACTCCTTTTGAGAGCGCAGTTTTGAAACTCTCTTTCTGTGGCATCTGCAAGGGGACATGTAGACCTCTTTGAAGATTTCGTTGGAAACGGAATCATCTTCACATAAAAACTATACAGAAGCAGTCTCAGAATCTTCTTTGTGATGTTTGCATTCAAATCCCCGAGTTGAACTTTCCTTTCAAAGTTCACGTTTGAAACACTCTTTTTGCAGGATCTACAAGTGGATATTTGGACCACTCTGTGTCCTTCGTTCGAAACGGGTATATCTTCACATGACATCTAGACAGAAGCTTTCTCAGAAAATTCTTTGGGATGATTGAGTTGAACTCACAGAGGTGAGCATTCCTTGCGATGTAGCAGTTTAGAAACACACTTTCTGCAGAATCTGCAAGTGCATATTTGGACCTCTGTGAGGAATTCGTTGGAAACGGGATAATTTCAGCTGACTAAACAGAAGCATTCTCAGAACCTTCTTCGTGATGTCTGCATTCAACTCACAGTGTGGAACCTTTCCTTGATAGTTCAGGTTTGAAACACTCTTTTTGTAGAAACTGCAAGGGGATAATTGCACTTCTTTGAGGCCTACCGTAGTAAAGGAAATAACTTCCTATACAAAGAAGACAGAAGCATTCTCAGAACCCTCTTCGTGATGTTTGCATTCAACTCACAGTGCTGAACCTTTCTTTGATAGTTCAGCTTTGAAACACTCTTTTTGTAGAAACTGCAAGGGGATATTTGGTCCTCTCTGAGGATTTCGTTGGAAACGGGATAAACCGCACAGAACTAAACAGAAGCATTCTCAGAACCTTCTTCGTGATGTTTGCATTCAACTCACAGTGTTGAACCTTTCTTTGATAGTTCAGGTTTGAAACGGTCTTTGTGTAGAGACTGCAAGTAGATATTTGGACCTCTCTGAGGATTTCGTTGGAAACGGGATAAACCGCACAGAACTAAAACAGAAGCATTCACAGAAAACTCTTGGTGACGACTGAGTTTAACTCACAGAGCTGAACATTCCTTTGGATGGAGCAGTTTCGAAACACACTATTTGTAGAATGTGCAAGTGGATATTTGGGCCTCTCTGAGGATTTCGTTGGAAACGGGATAAACCGCACAGAACTAAACAGAAGCATTCTCAGAAACTACTTTGTGATGATTGCATTCAAGTCACAGAGTTGAACATTCCCTTTGACAGAGCAGTTTGGAAACTCTCTTTGTGTAGAATCTGCAAGTGGAGATATGGACCGCTTTGAGGCCTATGGTAGTAAAGGAAATAGCTTCATATAAAAGCTAGACAGTAGCATTCTCAGAAACTTCTTTGTGATGCTTGCATTCAACTCACAGAGTTGAACTTTCCTTTCGAGAGAGAAGCTTTGAAACACTCTTTTTCCAGAATCTGCAAGTGGACATTTGGAGGGCTTTGAGGCCTGTGGTGGAAAAGGAATTATCTTCCCGTAAAAGCTAGATAGAAGCATTGTCAGAAACTTCTTTGTGATGATTGCATTCAACTCACAGAGTTGAAGGTTCCTTTTCAAACAGCAGTTTCCAATCACTCTTTCTGTGGAATCTGCAAGTGGATATTTGGGCCTCTCTGAGGATTTCGTTGGAAACGGGATAAAACGCACAGAACTAAAACAGAAGCATTCTCAGAAACTTCTCTGTGATGTTTGTGTTCAACTCCCAGAGTTTCACGTTGCTTTTCATAGAGTAGTTCTGAAACATGCTTTTCGTAGTGTCTGCAAGTGGACATTTGGAGCGCTTTCAGGCCTGTGGTGGAAAACGAATTATGGTCACATAAAAACTGGAGAGAAGCCTTCTCAGAAACTTCTCTGTGATGATTGCATTCAACTCACAGAGTTGAACCCTCCTATGGATAGAGCAGTGTTGAAACTCTCTTTTTGTGGAATCTGCAAGTGGATATGTGGACCTCTCCGAAGATGTCTTTGGAAACGGGAATATCTTCACATAAAAACTAAACAGAAGCATTCTCAGAAACTTCTTGGTGATGTTTGCATTCAAATCCCAGAGTTGAACCTTCCTTTGATAGTTCAGGTTTGAAACACTCTTTTTGTAGGATCTGCAAGTGGATATTTGGACCACTCTGTGGCCTTCGTTCGAAACGGGTATATCTTCGCATAAAATCTAGACAGAAGCATTCTCAGAAAATACTTTGTGATGATTGAGTTTAACTCACAGAGCTGAACATTCCTTTGGATGGAGCAGGTTTGAGACACACTTTTTGTAGAATCTACAAGTGGATATTTGGACCTCTCTGAGGATTTCGTTGGAAACGCGATAACTGCACCTAACTAAACGGAAGCATTCTCAGAAACTGCTTTGTGATGATTGCATTCACCTCACAGAGTTGAACATTCCTATTGATAGAGCAGTTTGGAAACACTCTTGTTGTGGAATGTGCAAGTGGAGATTTGGAGCGCTTTGAGGTCTATGGTAGTAAAGGGAATAGCTTCATAGAAAAACTAGACAGATGCATTCTCAGGAACTTTTTGGTGATGTTTGTATTCAACTCCCAGAGTTGAACTTTCCTTTGGAAAGAGCAGCTATGAAACACTCTTTTTCTAGAATCTGCAAGTGGACGTTTGGAGGGCTTTGTGGTTTGTGGTGGAAAAGGAAATATCTTCACCTAAATACTAGATAGAAGCATTCTCAGAAGCTTCTCTGTGATGACTGCATTCAACTCACGGAGTTGAACACTCCTTTTGAGAGCGCAGTTTTGAAACTCTCTTTCTGTGGCATCTGCAAGGGGACATGTAGACCTCTTTGAAGATTTCGTTGGAAACGGAATCATCTTCACATAAAAACTATACAGAAGCAGTCTCAGAATCTTCTTTGTGATGTTTGCATTCAAATCCCAGAGTTGAACTTTCCTTTCAAAGTTCACGTTTGAAACACTCTTTTTGCAGGATCTACAAGTGGATATTTGGACCACTCTGTGTCCTTCGTTCGAAACGGGTATATCTTCACATGACATCTAGACAGAAGCTTTCTCAGAAAATTCTTTGGGATGATTGAGTTGAACTCACAGAGCTGAACATTCCTTGCGATGGAGCAGTTTAGAAACACACTTTCTGCAGAATCTGCAAGTGCATATTTGGACCTCTCTGAGGAATTCGTTGGAAACGGGTTAATTTCAGCTGACTAAACAGAAGCATTCTCAGAACCTTCTTCGTGATGTCTGCATTCAACTCACAGTGTGGAACCTTTCTTTGATAGTTCAGGTTTGAAACACTCTTTTTGTAGAAACTGCAAGGGGATAATTGCACTTCTTTGAGGCCTACCGTAGTAAAGGAAATAACTTCCTATAGAAAGAAGACAGAAGAATTCTCAGAGCCCTCTTCGTGATGTTTGCATTCAACTCACAGTGCTGAACCTTTCTTTGATAGTGCAGCTTTGAAACACTCTTTTTGTAGAAACTGCAAGTGGATGTTTGGTCCTCTCTGAGGATTTCGTTGGAAACGGGATAAACCGCACAGAACTAAAACAGAAGCATTCTCAGAACCTTCTTCGTGATGTTTGCATTCAACTCACAGTGTTGAACCTTTCTTTGATAGTTCAGGTTTGAAACGGTCTTTCTGTAGAAACTGCAAGTAGATATTTGGACCTCTCTGAGGATTTCGTTGGAAACGGGATAACCCGCACAGAACTAAAACAGATAGCATTCACAGTAAAACTCTTGGTGACGACTGAGTTTAACTCACAGAGCTGAACATTCCTTTGGATGGAGCAGTTTCGAAACACACTATTTGTAGAATCTGCAAGTGGATATTTGGGCCTCTCTGAGGATTTCGTTGGAAACGGGATAAAACGCACAGAACTAAAACAGAAGCATTCTCAGAAACTACTTTGTGATGATTGCATTCAAGTCACAGAGTTGAACATTCCCTTCGACAGAGCAGTTTGGAAACTCTCTTTGTGTATAATCTGCAAGTGGAGATATGGACCGCTTTGAGGCCTATGGTAGTAAAGGAAATAGCTTCATATAAAAGCTAGACAGTAGCATTCTCAGAAACTTCTTTGTGATGCTTGCATTCAACTCACAGAGTTGAACTTTCCTTTCGAGAGAGAAGCTTTGAAACACTCTTTTTCCAGAATCTGCAAGTGGACATTTGGAGGGCTTTGAGGCCTGTGGTGGAAAAGGAATTATCTTCCCGTAAAAGCTAGATAGAAGCATTGTCAGAAACTTCTTTGTGATGATTGCATTCAACTCACAGAGTTGAAGGTTCCTTTTCAAAGAGCAGTTTCCAATCACTCTTTCTGTGGAATCTGCAAGTGGATATTTCGACCTCTTTGAAGATTTCGTTGGAAACGGGAGAATCTTCACAGAAAAGCTAAAGAGAAGCATTCTCAGAAACTTCTCTGTGATGTTTGTGTTCAACTCCCAGAGTTTCACATTGCTTTTCATAGAGTAGTTCTGAAACATGCTTTTCGTAGTGTCTGCAAGTGGACATTTGGAGCGCTTTCAGGCCTGTGGTGGAAAACGAATTATGGTCACATAAAAACTGGAGAGAAGCCTTCTCAGAAACTTCTCTGTGATGATTGCATTCAACTCACAGAGTTGAACCCTCCTATGGATAGAGCAGTGTTGAAACTCTCTTTTTGTGGAATCTGCAAGTGGATATGTGGACCTCTCCGAAGATGTCTTTGGAAACGGGAATATCTTCACATAAAAACTAAACAGAAGCATTCTCAGAAACTTCTTGGTGATGTTTGCATTCAAATCCCAGAGTTGAACCTTCCTTTGATAGTTCAGGTTTGAAACACTCTTTCTGTAGGATCTGCAAGTGGCTATTTGGACCACTCTGTGGCCTTCGTTCGAAACGGGTATATCTTCGCATAAAATCTAGACAGAAGCATTCTCAGAAAATACTTTGTGATGATTGAGTTTAAATCACAGAGCTGACCATTCCTTTGGATGGAGCAGGTTTGAGACACACTTTTTGTAGAATCTACAAGTGGATATTTGGACCTCTCTGAGGATTTCGTTGGAAACGGGATAACTGCACCTAACTAAACGGAAGCATTCTCAGAAACTGCTTTGTGATGATTGCATTCACCTCACAGAGTTGAACATTCCTATTGATAGAGCAGTTTGGAAACACTCTTGTTGTGGAATGTGCAAGTGGAGATTTGGAGCGCTTTGAGGCCTATGGTAGTAAAGGGAATAGCTTCATAGAAAAACTAGACAGATGCATTCTCAGGAACCTTTTGGTGATGTTTGTATTCAACTCCCAGAGTTGAACTTTCCTTTGGAAAGAGCAGCTATGAAACACTCTTTTTCTAGAATCTGCAAGTGGACGTTTGGAGGGCTTTGTGGTTTGTGGTGGAAAAGGAAATATCTTCACCTAAATACTAGATAGAAGCATTCTCAGAAGCTTCTCTGTGATGACTGCATTCAACTCACGGAGTTGAACACTCCTTTTGAGAGCGCAGTTTTGAAACTCTCTTTCTGTGGCATCTGCAAGGGGACATGTAGACCTCTTTGAAGATTTCGTTGGAAACGGAATCATCTTCACATAAAAACTATACAGAAGCAGTCTCAGAATCTTCTTTGTGATGTTTGCATTCAAATCCCAGAGTTGAACTTTCCTTTCAAAGTTCACGTTTGAAACACTCTTTTTGCAGGATCTACAAGTGGATATTTGGACCACTCTGTGTCCTTCGTTCGAAACGGGTATATCTTCACATGACATCTAGACAGAAGCTTTCTCAGAAAATTCTTTGGGATGATTGAGTTGAACTCACAGAGCTGAACATTCCTTTGAATGGAGCAGGTTTGAGACACACTTTTTGTAGAATCTACAAGTGGATATTTGGACCTCTCTGAGGATTTCGTTGGAAACGGGATAACTGCACATAACTAAACGGAAGCATTCTCAGAACCTTCTTCGTGATGTCTGCATTCAACTCACAGTGTGGAACCTTTCTTTGATAGTTCAGGTTTGAAACACTCTTTTTGTAGAAACTGCAAGGGGATAATTGCACTTCTTTGAGGCCTACCGTAGCAAAGGAAATAACTTATTATAAAAAGAAGACAGAAGCATTCTCAGAACCCTCTTCGTGATGTTTGCATTCAACTCACAGTGCTGAACCTTTCTTTGATAGTTCAGCTTTGAAACACTCTTCTTGTAGAAACTGCAAGTGGATATTTGGTCCTCTCTGAGGATTTCGTTGGAAACGGGATAAACCGCACAGAACTAAACAGAAGCATTCTCAGAACCTTCTTCGTGATGTTTGCATTCAACTCACAGTGTTGAACCTTTCTTTGATAGTTCAGGTTTGAAACGGTCTTTCTGTAGAAACTGCAAGTAGATATTTGGACCGCTCTGAGGATTTCGTTGGAAACGGGATAACCCGCACAGAACTAAAACAGAAGCATTCACAGAAAAGTCTTGGTGACGACTGAGTTTAACTCACAGAGCTGAACATTCCTTTGGATGGAGCCGTTTCGAAACACACTATTTGTAGAATGTGCAAGTGGATATTTGGGCCTCTCTGAGGATTTCGTTGGAAACGGGATAAACCGCACAGAACTAAACAGAAGCATTCTCAGAAACTACTTTGTGATGATTGCATTCAAGTCACAGAGTTGAACATTCCCTTTGACAGAGCAGTTTGGAAACTCTCTTTGTGTAGAATCTGCAAGTGGAGATATGGACCGCTTTGAGGCCTATGGTAGTAAAGGAAATAGCTTCATATAAAAGCTAGACAGTAGCATTCTCAGAAACTTCTTTGTGATGCTTGCATTCAACTCACAGAGTTGAACTTTCCTTTCGAGAGAGAAGCCTTGAAACACTCTTTTTCCAGAATCTGCAAGTGGACATTTGGAGGGCTTTGAGGCCTGTGGTGGAAAAGGAATTATCTTCCCGTAAAAGCTAGATAGAAGCATTGTCAGAAACTTCTTTGTGATGATTGCATTCAACTCACAGAGATGAAGGTTCCTTTACAAACAGCAGTTTCCAAACACTCTTTCTGTGGAATCTGCAAGTGGATATTTGGACCTCTTTGAAGATTTCGTTGGAAACGGGAGAATCTTCACAGAAAAGCTAAACAGAAGCATTCTCAGAAACTTCTCTGTGATGTTTGTGTTCAACTCCCAGAGTTTCACATTGCTTCTCATAGAGTAGTTCTGAAACATGCTTTTCGTAGTGTCTGCAAGTGGACATTTGGAGCGCTTTCAGGCCTGTGGTGGAAAACGAATTATGGTCACATAAAAACTGGAGAGAAGCCTTCTCAGAAACTTCTCTGTGATGATTGCATTCAACTCACAGAGTTGAACCCTCCTATGGATAGAGCAGTGTTGAAACTCTCTTTTTGTGGAATCTGCAAGTGGATATGTGGACCTCTCCGAAGATGTCTTTGGAAACGGGAATATCTTCACATAAAAACTAAACAGAAGCATTCTCAGAAACTTCTTGGTGATGTTTGCATTCAAATCCCAGAGTTGAACCTTCCTTTGATAGTTCAGGTTTGAAACACTCTTTTTGTAGGATCTGCAAGTGGCTATTTGGACCACTCTGTGGCCTTCGTTCGAAACGGGTATATCTTCGCATAAAATCTAGACAGAAGCATTCTCAGAAAATACTTTGTGATGATTGAGTTTAACTCACAGAGCTGAACATTCCTTTGGATGGAGCAGGTTTGAGACACACTTTTTGTAGAATCTACAAGTGGATATTTGGACCTCTCTGAGGATTTCGTTGGAAACGGGATAACTGCACCTAACTAAACGGAAGCATTCCCAGAAACTGCTTTGTGATGATTGCATTCACCTCACAGAGTTGAACATTCCTATTGATAGAGCAGTTTGGAAACACTCTTGTTGTGGAATGTGCAAGTGGAGATTTGGAGCGTTTTGAGACCTATGGTAGTAAAGGGAATAGCTTCATAGAAAAACTAGACAGATGCATTCTCAGGAACTTTTTGGTGATGTTTGTATTCAACTCCCAGAGTTGAACTTTCCTTTGGAAAGAGCAGCTATGAAACACTCTTTTTCTAGAATCTGCAAGTGGACGTTTGGAGGGCTTTGTGGTTTGTGGTGGAAAAGGAAATATCTTCACCTAAATACTAGATAGAAGCATTCTCAGAAGCTTCTCTGTGATGACTGCATTCAACTCACGGAGTTGAACACTCCTTTTGAGAGCGCAGTTTTGAAACTCTCTTTCTGTGGCATCTGCAAGGGGACATGTAGACCTCTTTGAAGATTTCGTTGGAAACGGAATCATCTTCACATAAAAACTATACAGAAGCAGTCTCAGAATCTTCTTTGTGATGTTTGCATTCAAATCCCAGGAGTTGAACTTTCCTTTCAAAGTTCACGTTTGAAACACTCTTTTTGCAGGATCTACAAGTGGATATTTGGACCACTCTGTGTCCTTCGTTCGAAACGGGTATAACTTCACACGACATCTAGACAGAAGCTTTCTCAGAAAATTCTTTGGGATGATTGAGTTGAGCAAACAGAGCTGAACATTCCGTGCGATGTAGCAGTTTAGAAACACACTTTCTGCAGAATCTGCAAGTGCATATGTGGACCTCTCTGAGGAATTCGTTGGAAACGGGATAATTTCAGCTGACTAAACAGAAGCATTCTCAGAACCTTCTTCGTGATGTCTGCATTCAACTCACAGTGTGGAACCTTTCTTTGATAGTTCAGGTTTGAAACACTCTTTTTGTAGAAACTGCAAGGGGATCCTTGCACTTCTTTGAGGCCTACCGTAGTAAAGGAAATAACTTCCTATAAAAAGAAGACAGAAGCATTCTCAGAACCCTCTTCGTGATGTTTGCATTCAACTCACAGTGCTGAACCTTTCTTTGATAGTTCAGCTTTGAAACACTCTTCTTGTAGAAACTGCAAGTGGATATTTGGTCCTCTCTGAGGATTTCGTTGGAAACGGGATAAACCGCACAGAACTAAACAGAAGCATTCTCAGAACCTTCTTCGTGATGTTTGCATTCAACTCACAGTGTTGAACCTTTCTTTGATAGTTCAGGTTTGAAACGGTCTTTCTGTAGAAACTGCAAGTAGATATTTGGACCACTTTGAGGATTTCGTTGGAAACGGGATAAACCGCACAGAACTAAAACAGAAGCATTCACAGAAAACTCTTGGTGACGACTGAGTTTAACTCACAGAGCTGAACATTCCTTTGGATGGAGCAGTTTCGAAACACACTATTTGTAGAATCTGCAAGTGGATATTTGGGCCTCTCTGAGGATTTCGTTGGAAACGGGATAAAACGCACAGAACTAAAACAGAAGCATTCTCAGAAACTACTTTGTGATGATTGCATTCAAGTCACAGAGTTGAACATTCCCTTTGACAGAGCAGTTTGGAAACTCTCTTTGTGTAGAATCTGCAAGTGGAGATATGGACCGCTTTGAGGCCTATGGTAGTAAAGGAAATAGCTTCATATAAAAGCTAGACAGTAGCATTCTCATAAACTTCTTTGTGATGCTTGCATTCAACTCACAGAGTTGAACTTTCCTTTCGAGAGAGAAGCTTTGAAACACTCTTTTTCCAGAATCTGCAAGTGGACATTTGGAGGGTTTTGAGGCCTGTGGTGGAAAAGGAATTATCTTCCCGTAAAAGCTAGATAGAAGCATTGTCAGAAACTTCTTTGTGATGATTGCATTCAACTCACAGAGTTGAAGGTTCCTTTTCAAACAGCAGTTTCCAATCACTCTTTCTGTGGAATCTGCAAGTGGATATTTGGGCCTCTCTGAGGATTTCGTTGGAAACGGGATAAAACGCACAGAACTAAAACAGAAGCATTCTCAGAAACTTCTCTGTGATGTTTGTGTTCAACTCCCAGAGTTTCACGTTGCTTTTCATAGAGTAGTTCTGAAACATGCTTTTCGTAGTGTCTGCAAGTGGACATTTGGAGCGCTTTCAGGCCTGTGGTGGAAAACGAATTATGGTCACATAAAAACTGGAGAGAAGCCTTCTCAGAAACTTCTCTGTGATGATTGCATTCAACTCACAGATTTGAACCCTCCTATGGATAGAGCATTGTTGAAACTCTCTTTTTGTGGAATCTGCAAGTGGATATGTGGACCTCTCCGAAGATGTCTTTGGAAACGGGAATATCTTCACATAAAAACTAAACAGAAGCATTCTCAGAAACTTCTTGGTGATGTTTGCATTCAAATCCCAGAGTTGAACCTTCCTTTGATAGTTCAGGTTTGAAACACTCTTTTTGTAGGATCTGCAAGGGGCTATTTGGACCACTCTGTGGCCTTCGTTAGAAACGGGTACATCTTCGCATAAAATCTAGACAGAAGCATTCTCAGAAAATACTTTGTGATGATTGAGTTTAACTCACAGAGCTGAACATTCCTTTGGATGGAGCAGGTTTGAGACACACTTTTTGTAGAATGTACAAGTGGATATTTGGACCTCTCTGAGGATTTCGTTGGAAACGGGATAACTGCACCTAACTAAACGGAAGCATTCTCAGAAACTGCTTTGTGATGATTGCATTCACCTCACAGAGTTGAACATTCCTACTGATAGAGCAGTTTGGAAACACTCTTGTTGTGGAATGTGGAAGTGGAGATTTGGAGCGCTTTGAGGCCTATGGTAGTAAAGGGAATAGCTTCATAGAAAAACTAGACAGATGCATTCTCAGGAACTTTTTGGTGATGTTTGTATTCAACTCCCAGAGTTGAACTTTCCTTTGGAAAGAGCAGCTATGAAACACTCTTTTTCTAGAATCTGCAAGTGGACGTTTGGAGGGCTTTGTGGTTTGTGGTGGAAAAGGAAATATCTTCACCTAAATACTAGATAGAAGCATTCTCAGAAGCTTCTCTGTGATGACTGCATTCAACTCACGGAGTTGAACACTCCTTTTGAGAGCGCAGTTTTGAAACTCTCTTTCTGTGGCATCTGCAAGGGGACATGTAGACCTCTTTGAAGATTTCGTTGGAAACGGAATCATCTTCACATAAAAACTATACAGAAGCAGTCTCAGAATCTTCTTTGTGATGTTTGCATTCAAATCCCAGAGTTGAACTTTCCTTTCAAAGTTCATGTTTGAAACACTCTTTTTGCAGGATCTACAAGTGGATATTTGTACCACTCTGTGTCCTTCGTTCGAAACGGGTATATCTTCACATGACATCTAGACAGAAGCTTTCTCAGAAAATTCTTTGGGATGATTGAGTTGAGCAAACAGAGCTGAACACTCCTTGCGATGTAGCAGTTTAGAAACACCCTTTCTGCAGAATCTGCAAGTGCATATGTGGACCTCTCTGAGGAATTCGTTGGAAACGGGATAATTTCAGCTGACTAAACAGAAGCATTCTCAGAACCTTCTTCGTGATGTCTGCATTCAACTCACAGTGTGGAACCTTTCTTTGATAGTTCAGGTTTGAAACACTCTTTTTGTAGAAACTGCAAGGGGATAATTGCACTTCTTTGAGGCCTACCGTAGTAAAGGAAATAACTTCCTATAAAAAGAAGACAGAAGCATTCTCAGAACCCTCTTCGTGATGTTTGCATTCAACTCACAGTGCTGAACCTTTCTTTGATAGTTCAGCTTTGAAACACTCTTTTTGTAGAAACTGCAAGTGGATATTTGGTCCTCTCTGAGGATTTCGTTGGAAACGGGATAAACCGCACAGAACTAAACAGAAGCATTCTCAGAACCTTCTTCGTGATGTTTGCATTCAACTCACAGTGTTGAACCTTTCTTTGATAGTTCAGGTTTGAAACGGTCTTTCTGTAGAAACTGCAAGTAGATATTTGGACCTCTCTGAGGATTTCGTTGGAAACGGGATAAACCGCACAGAACTAAAACAGAAGCATTCACAGAAAACTCTTGGTGACGACTGAGTTTAACTCACAGAGCTGAACATTCCTTTGGATGGAGCAGTTTCAAAACACACTATTTGTAGAATCTGCTAGTGGATATGTGGGCCTCTCTGAGGATTTCGTTGGAAACGGGATAAACCGCACAGAACTAAAACAGAAGCATTCTCAGAAACTACTTTGTGATGATTGCATTCAAGTCACAGAGCTGAACATTCCCTTTCACAGAGCAGTTTGGAAACTCTCTTTGTGTAGAATCTGCAAGTGGAGATATGGAATGCTTTGAGGACTATGGTAGTAAAGGAAATAGCTTCATATAAAAGCTAGACAGTAGCATTCTCAGAAACTTCTTTGTGATGCTTGCATTCAACTCACAGAGTTGAACTTTCCTTTCGAGAGAGAAGCTTTGAAACACTCTTTTTCCAGAATCTGCAAGTGGACATTTGGAGGGCTTTGAGGCCTGTGGTGGAAAAGGAATTATCTTCCCGTAAAAGCTAGATAGAAGCATTGTCAGAAACTTCTTTGTGATGATTGCATTCAACTCACAGAGTTGAAGGTTCCTTTTCAAAGAGCAGTTTCCAATCACTCTTTGTGTGGAATCTGCAAGTGGATATTTGGACCTATTTTGAAGATTTCGTTGGAAACGGGAGAATCTTCACAGGAAAGCTAAACAGAAGCATTCTCAGAAACTTCTCTGTGATGTTTGTGTTCAACTCCCAGAGTTTCACGTTGCTTTTCATAGAGTAGTTCTGAAACATGCTTTTCGTAGTGTCTGCAAGTGGACATTTGGAGCGCTTTCAGGCCTGTGGTGGAAAACGAATTATGGTCACATAAAAACTGGAGAGAAGCCTTCTCAGAAACTTCTCTGTGATGATTGCATTCAACTCACAGAGTTGAACCCTCCTATGGATAGAGCAGTGTTGAAACTCTCTTTTTGTGGAATCTGCAAGTGGATATGTGGACCTCTCCGAAGATGTCTTTGGAAACGGGAATATCTTCACATAAAAACTAAACAGAAGCATTCTCAGAAACTTCTTGGTGATGTTTGCATTCAAATCCCAGAGTTGAACCTTCCTTTGAGAGTTCAGGTTTGAAACACTCTTTTTGTAGGATCTGCAAGTGGATATTTGGACCACTCTGTGGCCTTCGTTCGAAACGGGTACATCTTCGCATAAAATCTAGACAGAAGCATTCTCAGAAAATACTTTGTGATGATTGAGTTTAAATCACAGAGCTGACCATTCCTTTGGATGGAGCAGGTTTGAGACACACTTTTTGTAGAATCTACAAGTGGATATTTGGACCTCTCTGAGGATTTCGTTGGAAACGGGATAACTGCACCTAACTAAACGGAAGCATTCTCAGAAACTGCTTTGTGATGATTGCATTCACCTCACAGAGTTGAACATTCCTATTGATAGAGCAGTTTGGAAACACTCTTGTTGTGGAATGTGCAAGTGGAGATTTGGAGCGCTTTGAGGCCTATGGTAGTAAAGGGAATAGCTTCATAGAAAAACTAGACAGATGCATTCTCAGGAACTTTTTGGTGATGTTTGTATTCAACTCCCAGAGTTGAACTTTCCTTTGGAAAGAGCAGCTATGAAACACTGTTTTTCTAGAATCTGCAAGTGGACGTTTGGAGGGCTTTGTGGTTTGTGGTGGAAAAGGAAATATCTTCACCTAAATACTAGATAGAAGCATTCTCAGAAGCTTCTCTGTGATGACTGCATTCAACTCACGGAGTTGAACACTCCTTTTGAGAGCGCAGTTTTGAAACTCTCTTTCTGTGGCATCTGCAAGGGGACATGTAGACCTCTTTGAAGATTTCGTTGGAAACGGAATCATCTTCACATAAAAACTATACAGAAGCAGTCTCAGAATCTTCTTTGTGATGTTTGCATTCAAATCCCAGAGTTGAACTTGCCTTTCAAAGTTCACGTTTGAAACACTCTTTTTGCAGGATCTACAAGTGGATATTTGGACCACTCTGTGTCCTTCGTTCGAAACGGGTATATCTTCACATGACATCTAGACAGAAGCTTTCTCAGAAAATTCTTTGGGATGATTGAGTGGAACTCACAGAGCTGAACATTCCTTGCGATGTAGCAGTTTAGAAACACACTTTCTGCAGAATCTGCAAGTGCATATTTGGACCTCTCTGAGGAATTCGTTGGAAACGGGATAATTTCAGCTGACTAAACAGAAGCATTCTCAGAACCTTCTTCGTGATGTGTGCATTCAACTCACAGTGTGGAACCTTTCTTTGATAGTTCAGGTTTGAAACACTCTTTTTGTAGAAACTGCAAGGGGATAATTGCACTTCTTTGAGGCCTACCGTAGTAAAGGAAATAACTTCCTATAGAAAGAAGACAGAAGAATTCTCAGAGCCCTCTTCGTGATGTTTGCATTCAACTCACAGTGCTGAACCTTTCTTTGATAGTGCAGCTTTGAAACACTCTTTTTGTAGAAACTGCAAGTGGATGTTTGGTCCTCTCTGAGGATTTCGTTGGAAACGGGATAAACCGCACAGAACTAAAACAGAAGCATTCTCAGAACCTTCTTCGTGATGTTTGCATTCAACTCACAGTGTTGAACCTTTCTTTGATAGTTCAGGTTTGAAACGGTCTTTCTGTAGAAACTGCAAGTAGATATTTGGACCTCTCTGAGGATTTCGTTGGAAACGGGATAACCCGCACAGAACTAAAACAGAAGCATTCACAGAAAACTCTTGGTGACGACTGAGTTTAACTCACAGAGCTGAACATTCCTTTGGATGGAGCAGTTTCGAAACACACTATTTGTAGAATGTGCAAGTGGATATTTAGGCCTCTCTGAGGATTTCGTTGGAAACGGGATAAACCGCACAGAACTAAACAGAAGCATTCTCAGAAACTACTTTGTGATGATTGCATTCAAGTCACAGAGTTGAACATTCCCTTTGACAGAGCAGTTTGGAAACTCTCTTTGTGTAGAATCTGCAAGTGGAGATATGGACCGCTTTGAGGCCTATGGTAGTAAAGGAAATAGCTTCATATAAAAGCTAGACAGTAGCATTCTCAGAAACTTCTTTGTGATGCTTGCATTCAACTCACAGAGTTGAACTTTCCTTTCGAGAGAGAAGCTTTGAAACACTCTTTTTCCAGAATGTGCAAGTGGACATTTGGGGAGCTTTGAGGCCTGTGGTGGAAAAGGAATTATCTTCCCGTAAAAGCTAGATAGAAGCATTGTCAGAAACTTCTTTGTGATGATTGCATTCAACTCACAGAGTTGAAGGTTCCTTTTCAAACAGCAGTTTCCAATCACTCTTTCTGTGGAATCTGCAAGTGGATATTTGGGCCTCTCTGAGGATTTCGTTGGAAACGGGATAAAACGCACAGAACTAAAACAGAAGCATTCTCAGAAACTTCTCTGTGATGTTTGTGTTCAACTCCCAGAGTTTCACGTTGCTTTTCATAGAGTAGTTCTGAAACATGCTTTTCGTAGTGTCTGCAAGTGGACATTTGGAGCGCTTTCAGGCCTGTGGTGGAAAACGAATTATGGTCACTTAAAAACTGGAGAGAAGCCTTCTCAGAAACTTCTCTGTGATGATTGCATTCAACTCACAGAGTTGAACCCTCCTATGGATAGAGCAGTGTTGAAACTCTCTTTTTGTGGAATCTGCAAGTGGATATGTGGACCTCTCCGAAGATGTCTTTGGAAACGGGAATATCTTCACATAAAAACTAAACAGAAGCATTCTCAGAAACTTCTTGGTGATGTTTGCATTCAAATCCCAGAGTTGAACCTTCCTTTGATAGTTCAGGTTTGAAACACTCTTTCTGTAGGATCTGCAAGTGGCTATTTGGACCACTCTGTGGCCTTCGTTCGAAACGGGTATATCTTCGCATAAAATCTAGACAGAAGCATTCTCAGAAAATACTTTGTGATGATTGAGTTGAACTCACAGAGCTGAACATTCCTTTGGATGGAACAGGATTAAGACAAACTTTTTGTAGAATCTACAAGTGGATATTTGGACCTCTCTGAGGATTTCGTTGGAAACGGGATAACTGCACCTAACTAAACGGAAGCATTCTCAGAAACTGCTTTGTGATGATTGCATTCACCTCACAGAGTTGAACATTCCTATTGATAGAGCAGTTTGGAAACACTCGTGTTGTGGAATGTGCATGTGGAGATTTGGAGCGCTTTGAGGCCTATGGTAGTAAAGGGAATAGCTTCATAGAAAAACTAGACAGATGCATTCTCAGGAACTTTTTGGTGATGTTTGTATTCAACTCCCAGTGTTGAACTTTCCTTTGGAAAGAGCAGCTATGAAACACTCTTTTTCTAGAATCTGCAAGTGGACGTTTGGAGGGCTTTGTGGTTTGTGGTGGAAAAGGAAATATCTTCACCTAAATACTAGATAGAAGCATTCTCAGAAGCTTCTCTGTGATGACTGCATTCAACTCACGGAGTTGAACACTCCTTTTGAGAGCGCAGTTTTGAAACTCTCTTTCTGTGGCATCTGCAAGGGGACATGTAGACCTCTTTGAAGATTTCGTTGGAAACGGAATCATCTTCACATAAAAACTATACAGAAGCAGTCTCAGAATCTTCTTTGTGATGTTTGCATTCAAATCCCAGAGTTGAACTTTCCTTTCAAAGTTCACGTTTGAAACACTCTTTTTGCAGGATCTACAAGTGGATATTTGGACCACTCTGTGTCCTTCGTTCGAAACGGGTATATCTTCACATGACATCTAGACAGAAGCTTTCTCAGAAAATTCTTTGGGATGATTGAGTGGAACTCACAGAGCTGAACATTCCTTGCGATGGAGCAGTTTAGAAACACACTTTCTGCAGAATCTGCAAGTGCATATTTGGACCTCTCTGAGGAATTCGTTGGAAACGGGATAATTTCAGCTGACTAAACAGAAGCATTCTCAGAACCTTCTTCGTGATGTCTGCATTCAACTCACAGTGTGGAACCTTTCTTTGATAGTTCAGGTTTGAAACACTCTTTTTGTAGAAACTGCAAGGGGATAATTGCACTTCTTTGAGGCCTACCGTAGTAAAGGAAATAACTTCCTATTGAAAGAAGACAGAAGCATTCTCAGAACCTTCTTCGTGATGTTTGCATTCAACTCACAGTGTTGAACCTTTCTTTGATAGTTCAGGTTTGAAACGGTCTTTCTGTAGAAACTGCAAGTAGATATTTGGACCTCTCTGAGGATTTCGTTGGAAACGGGATAAACCGCACAGAACTAAACAGAAGCATTCACAGAAAACTCTTGGTGACGACTGAGTTTAACCCACAGAGCTGAACATTCCTTTGGATGGAGCAGTTTCGAAACACACTATTTGTAGAATGTGCAAGTGGATATTTGGGCCTCTCTGAGGATTTTGTTGGAAACGGGATAAACTGCCCAGAACTAAACAGAAGCATTCTCAGAAACTACTTTGTGATGATTGCATTCAAGTCACAGAGTTGAACATTCCCTTTGACAGAGCAGTTTGGAAACTCTCTTTGTGTAGAATCTGCAAGTGGAGATATGGACCGCTTTGAGGCCTATGGTAGTAAAGGAAATAGCTTCATATAAAAGCTAGACAGTAGCATTCTCAGAAACTTCTTTGTGATGCTTGCATTCAACTCACAGAGTTGAACTTTCCTTTCGAGAGAGAAGCTTTGAAACACTCTTTTTCCAGAATCTGCAAGTGGACATTTGGAGGGCTTTGAGGCCTGTGGTGGAAAAGGAATTATCTTCCCGTAAAAGCTAGATAGAAGCATTGTCAGAAACTTCTTTGTGATGATTGCATTCAACTCACAGAGTTGAAGGTTCCTTTTCAAACAGCAGTTTCCAAACACCCTTTCTGTGGAATCTGCAAGTGGATGTTTGGACCTCTTGGAAGATTTCGTTGGAAACGGGAGAATCTTCACATAAAAGCTAAACAGAAGCTTTCTCAGAAACTTCTCTGTGATGTTTGTGTTCAACTCCCAGAGTTTCACATTGCTTTTCATAGAGTAGTTCTGAAACATGCTTTTCGTAGTGTCTGCAAGTGGACGTTTGGAGCGCTTTCAGGCCAGTGGTGGAAAACGAATTATGGTCACAAAAAAACTGGAGAGAAGCCTTCTCAGAAACTTCTCTGTGATGATTGCATTCAACTCACAGAGTTGAACCCTCCAATGGATAGAGCAGTGTTGAAATTCTCTTTTTGTGGAATCTGCAAGTGGATATGTGGACCTCTCCGAAGATGTCTTTGGAAACGGGAATATCTTCACATAAAAACTAAACAGAAGCATTCTCAGAAACTTCTTGGTGATGTTTGCATTCAAATCCCAGAGTTGAACCTTCCTTTGATAGTTCAGGTTTGAAACACTCTTTTTGTAGGATCTGCAAGTGGATATTTGGACCACTCTGTGGCCTTCGTTCGAAACGGGTACATCTTCGCAAAAAATCTAGACAGAAGCATTCTCAGAAAATACTTTGTGATGATTGAGTTCAACTCACAGAGCTGAACATTCCTTCGGATGGAGCAGGTTTGAGACACACTTTTTGTAGAATCTACAAGTGGATATTTGGACCTCTCTGAGGATTTCGTTGGAAACAGGATAACTGCACCTAACTAAACGGAAGCATTCTCAGAAACTGCTTTGTGATGATTGCATTCACCTCACAGAGTTGAACATTCCTATTGATAGAGCAGTTTGGAAACACTCTTGTTGTGGAATGTGCAAGTGGAGATTTGGAGCGCTTTGAGGCCTATGGTAGTAAAGGGAATAGCTTCATAGAAAAACTAGACAGATGCATTCTCAGGAACCTTTTGGTGATGTTTGTATTCAACTCCCAGAGTTGAACTTTCCTTTGGAAAGAGCAGCTATGAAACACTCTTTTTCTAGAATCTGCAAGTGGACGTTTGGAGGGCTTTGTGGTTTGTGGTGGAAAAGGAAATATCTTCACCTAAATACTAGATAGAAGCATTCTCAGAAGCTTCTCTGTGATGACTGCATTCAACTCACGGAGTTGAACACTCCTTTTGAGAGCGCAGTTTTGAAACTCTCTTTCTGTGGCATCTGCAAGGGGACATGTAGACCTCTTTGAAGATTTCGTTGGAAACGGAATCATCTTCACATAAAAACTATACAGAAGCAGTCTCAGAATCTTCTTTGTGATGTTTGCATTCAAATCCCAGAGTTGAACTTTCCTTTCAAAGTTCACGTTTGAAACACTCTTTTTGCAGGATCTACAAGTGGATATTTGGACCACTCTGTGTCCTCCGTTCGAAACGGGTATATCTTCACATGACATCTAGACAGAAGCTTTCTCAGAAAATTCTTTGGGATGATTGAGTGGAACTCACAGAGCTGAACATTCCTTGTGATGTAGCAGTTTAGAAACACACTTTCTGCAGAATCTGCAAGTGCATATGTGGACCTCTCTGAGGAATTCGTTGGAAACGGGATAATTTCAGCTGACTAAACAGAAGCATTCTCAGAACCTTCTTCGTGATGTCTGCATTCAACTCACAGTGTGGAACCTTTCTTTGATAGTTCAGGTTTGAAACACTCTTTTTGTAGAAACTGCAAGGGGATAATTGCACTTCTTTGAGGCCTACCGTAGTAAAGGAAATAACTTCCTATAGAAAGAAGACAGAAGAATTCTCAGAGCCCTCTTCGTGATGTTTGCATTCAACTCACAGTGCTGAACCTTTCTTTGATAGTGCAGCTTTGAAACACTCTTTTTGTAGAAACTGCAAGTGGATGTTTGGTCCTCTCTGAGGATTTCGTTGGAAACGGGATAAACCGCACAGAACTAAAACAGAAGCATTCTCAGAACCTTCTTCGTGATGTTTGCATTCAACTCACAGTGTTGAACCTTTCTTTGATAGTTCAGGTTTGAAACGGTCTTTCTGTAGAAACTGCAAGTAGATCTTTGGACCTCTCTGAGGATTTCGTTGGAAACGGGATAACCCACACAGAACTAAAACAGAAGCATTCACAGAAAACTCCTGGTGACGACTGAGTTTAACTCACAGAGCTGAACATTCCCTTGGTTGGAGCAGTTTCGAAACACACTGTTTGTAGAATCTGCAGGTGGATGTTTGGGCCTCTCTGAGGATTTCGTTGGAAACGGGATAAACGGCAGAGAACTAAAACAGAAGCATTCTCAGAAACTACTTTGTGATGATTGCATTCAAGTCACAGATTTGAACATTCCCTTTGACGGAGCAGTTTGGAAACTCTCTTTGTGTAGAATCTGCAAGTGGAGATATGGAATGCTTTGAGGACTATGGTAGTAAAGGAAATAGCTTCATATAAAAGCTAGACAGTAGCATTCTCAGAAACTTCTTTGTGATGCTTGCATTCAACTCACAGAGTTGAACTATCCTTTCGAGAGAGAAGCTTTGAAATACTCTTTTTCCAGAATCTGCAAGTGGACATTTGGAGGGCTTTGAGGCCTGTGGTGGAAAAGGAATTATCTTCCTGTAAAAGCTAGATAGAAGCATTGTCAGAAACTTCTTTGTGATGATTGCATTCAACTCACAGAGATGAAGGTTCCTTTACAATCAGCATTTTCCAAACACTCTTTCTGTGGAATCTGCAAGTGGATATTTGGACCTCTTTGAAGATTTCGTTGGAAACGGGAGAATCTTCACAGAAAAGCTAAACAGAAGCATTCTCAGAAACTTCTCTGTGATGTTTGTGTTCAACTCCCAGAGTTTCACATTGCTTTTCATAGAGTAGTTCTGAAACATGCTTTTCGTAGTGTCTGCAAGTGGACATTTGGAGCGCTTTCAGGCCTGTGGTGGAAAACGAATTATGGTCCCATAAAAACTGGAGAGAAGCCTTCTCAGAAACTTCTCTGTGATGATTGCATTCAACTCACAGATTTGAACCCTCCTATGGATAGAGCATTGTTGAAACTCTCTTTTTGTGGAATCTGCAAGTGGATATGTGGACCTCTCCGAAGATGTCTTTGGAAACGGGAATATCTTCACATAAAAACTAAACAGAAGCATTCTCAGAAACTTCTTGGTGATGTTTGCATTCAAATCCCAGAGTTGAACCTTCCTTTGATAGTTCAGGTTTGAAACACTCTTTCTGTAGGATCTGCAAGTGGCTATTTGGACCACTCTGTGGCCTTCGTTCGAAACGGGTATATCTTCGCATAAAATCTAGACAGAAGCATTCTCAGAAAATACTTTGTGATGATTGAGTTTAAATCACAGAGCTGACCATTCCTTTGGATGGAGCAGGTTTGAGACACACTTTTTGTAGAATCTACAAGTGGATATTTGGACCTCTCTGAGGATTTCGTTGGAAACGGGATAACTGCACCTAACTAAACGGAAGGATTCTCAGAAACTGCTTTGTGATGATTGCATTCACCTCACAGAGTTGAACATTCCTATTGATAGAGCAGTTTGGAAACACTCTTCTTGTGGAATGTGCAAGTGGAGATTTGGAGCGCTTTGAGGCCTATGGTAGTAAAGGGAATAGCTTCATAGAAAAACTAGACAGAAGCGTTCTCAGGAACTCCTTGATGTTGTTTGTATTCAACTTCCAGAGTTGAACTTTCCTTCGGAAAGAGCAGCTATGAAACACTCTTTTTCTAGAGTCTGCAAGTGGACATGAGGAGGGCTTTGTGGTTTGTGGTGGAAAAGGAAATATCTTCACCTAAATACTAGATAGAAGCATTCTCAGAAGCTTCTCTGTGATGACTGCATTCAACTCACGGAGTTGAACACTCCTTTTGGGAGCGCAGTTTTGAAACTCTCTTTCTGTGGCATCCGCAAGGGGACATGTAGACCTCTTTGAAGATTTCGTTGGAAACGGAATCATCTTCACATAAAAACTATACAGAAGCAGTCTCAGAATCTTCTTTGTGATGTTAGCATTCAAATCCCAGAGTTGAACTTTCCTTTCAAAGTTCACGTTTGAAACACTCTTTTTGCAGGATCTACAAGTGGATATTTGGACCACTTCTGTGTCCTTCGTTCGAAACGGGTATATCTTCACACGACATCTAGACAGAAGCTTTCTCAGAAAATTCTTTGGGATGATTGAGTGGAACTCACAGAGCTGAACATTCCTTGCGATGTAGCAGTTTAGAAACACACTTTCTGCAGAATCTGCAAGTGCATATTTGGACCTCTCTGAGGAATTCGTTGGAAACGGGATAATTTCAGCTGACTAAACAGAAGCATTCTCAGAACCTTCTTCGTGATGTCTGCATTCAACTCACAGTGTGGAACCTTTCTTTGATAGTTCAGGTTTGAAACACTCTTTTTGTAGAAACTGCAAGGGGATAATTGCACTTCTTTGAGGCCTACCGTAGTAAAGGAAATAACTTCCTATAGAAAGAAGACAGAAGAATTCTCAGAGCCCTCTTCGTGATGTTTGCATTCAACTCACAGTGCTGAACCTTTCTTTGATAGTGCAGCTTTGAAACACTCTTTTTGTAGAAACTGCAAGTGGATGTTTGGTCCTCTCTGAGGATTTCGTTGGAAACGGGATAAACCGCACAGAACTAAAACAGAAGCATTCTCAGAACCTTCTTCGTGATGTTTGCATTCAACTCACAGTGTTGAACCTTTCTTTGATAGTTCAGGTTTGAAACGGTCTTTCTGTAGAAACTGCAAGTAGATATTTGGACCTCTCTGAGGATTTCGTTGGAAACGGGATAACCCGCACAGAACTAAAACAGAAGCATTCACAGAAAACTCTTGGTGACGACTGAGTTTAACTCACAGAGCTGAACATTCCTTTGGATGGAGCAGTTTCGAAACACACTATTTGTAGAATGTGCAAGTGGATATTTGGGCCTCTCTGAGGATTTCGTTGGAAACGGGATAAACCGCACAGAACTAAACAGAAGCATTCTCAGAAACTACTTTGTGATGATTGCATTCAAGTCACAGAGTTGAACATTCCCTTTGACAGAGCAGTTTGGAAACTCTCTTTGTGTAGAATCTGCAAGTGGAGATATGGACCGCTTTGAGGCCTATGGTAGTAAAGGAAATAGCTTCATATAAAAGCTAGACAGTAGCATTCTCAGAAACTTCTTTGTGATGCTTGCATTCAACTCACAGAGTTGAACTTTCCTTTCGAGAGAGAAGCTTTGAAACACTCTTTTTCCAGAATCTGCAAGTGGACATTTGGAGGGCTTTGAGGCCTGTGGTGGAAAAGGAATTATCTTCCCGTAAAAGCTAGATAGAAGCATTGTCAGAAACTTCTTTGTGATGATTGCATTCAACTCACAGAGTTGAAGGTTCCTTTTCAAACAGCAGTTTCCAATCACTCTTTCTGTGGAATCTGCAAGTGGATATTTGGGCCTCTCTGAGGATTTCGTTGGAAACGGGATAAAACGCACAGAACTAAAACAGAAGCATTCTCAGAAACTTCTCTGTGATGTTTGTGTTCAACTCCCAGAGTTTCACATTGCTTCTCATAGAGTAGTTCTGAAACATGCTTTTCGTAGTGTCTGCAAGTGGACATTTGGAGCGCTTTCAGGCCTGTGGTGGAAAACGAATTATGGTCACATAAAAACTGGAGAGAAGCCTTCTCAGAAACTTCTCTGTGATGATTGCATTCAACTCACAGAGTTGAACCCTCCTATGGATAGAGCAGTGTTGAAACTCTCTTTTTGTGGAATCTGCAAGCGGATATGTGGACCTCTCCGAAGATGTCTTTGGAAACGAGAATATCTTCACATAAAAACTAAACAGAAGCATTCTCAGAAACTTCTTGGTGATGTTTGCATTCAAATCCCAGAGTTGAACCTTCCTTTGAGAGTTCAGGTTTGAAACACTCTTTTTGTAGGATCTGCAAGTGGATATTTGGACCACTCTGAGGCCTTCGTTCGAAACGGGTACATCTTCGCATAAAATCTAGACAGAAGCATTCTCAGAAAATACTTTGTGATGATTGAGTTGAACTCACAGAGCTGAACATTCCTTTGGATGGAGCAGGTTTGAGACACACTTTTTGTAGATTCTACAAGTGGATATTTGGACCTCTCTGAGAATTTCGTTGGAAACGCGATAACTGCACCTAATTAAACGGAAGCACTCTCAGAAACTGCTTTGTGATGATTGCATTCACCTCACAGAGTTGAACATTCCTATTGATAGAGCAGTTTGGAAAAACTCTTGTTGTGGAATGTGCAAGTGGAGATTTGGAGCGCTTTGAGGCCTATGGTAGTAAAGGGAATAGCTTCATAGAAAAACTAGACAGATGCATTCTCAGGAACTTTTTGGTGATGTTTGTATTCAACTCCCAGAGTTGAACTTTCCTTTGGAAAGAGCAGCTATGAAACACTCTTTTTCTAGAATCTGCAAGTGGACGTTTGGAGGGCTTTGTGGTTTGTGGTGGAAAAGGAAATATCTTCACCTAAATACTAGATAGAAGCATTCTCAGAAGCTTCTCTGTGATGACTGCATTCAACTCACGGAGTTGAACACTCCTTTTGAGAGCGCAGTTTTGAAACTCTCTTTCTGTGGCATCTGCAAGGGGACATGTAGACCTCTTTGAAGATTTCGTTGGAAACGGAATCATCTTCACATAAAAACTATACAGAAGCAGTCTCAGAATCTTCTTTGTGATGTTTGCATTCAAATCCCAGAGTTGAACTTTCCTTTCAAAGTTCACGTTTGAAACACTCTTTTTGCAGGATCTACAAGTGGATATTTGGACCACTCTGTGTCCTTCGTTCGAAACGGGTATATCTTCACACGACATCTAGACAGAAGCTTTCTCAGAAAATTCTTTGGGATGATTGAGTGGAACTCACAGAGCTGAACATTCCTTGCGATGTAGCAGTTTAGAAACACACTTTCTGCAGAATCTGCAAGTGCATATTTGGACCTCTCTGAGGAATTCGTTGGAAACGGGATAATTTCAGCTGACTAAACAGAAGCATTCTCAGAACCTTCTTCGTGATGTCTGCATTCAACTCACAGTGTGGAACCTTTCTTTGATAGTTCAGGTTTGAAACACTCTTTTTGTAGAAACTGCAAGGGGATAATTGCACTTCTTTGAGGCCTACCGTAGTAAAGGAAATAACTTCCTATAGAAAGAAGACAGAAGCATTCTCAGAACCCTCTTCGTGATGTTTGCATTCAACTCACAGTGCTGAACCTTTCTTTGATAGTTCAGCTTTGAAACACTCTTCTTGTAGAAACTGCAAGTGGATATTTGGTCCTCTCTGAGGATTTCGTTGGAAACGGGATAAACCGCACAGAACTAAACAGAAGCATTCTCAGAACCTTCTTCGTGATGTTTGCATTCAACTCACAGTGTTGAACCTTTCTTTGATAGTTCAGGTTTCAAACGGTCTTTCTGTAGAAACTGCAAGTAGATATTTGGACCTCTCTGAGGATTTCGTTGGAAACGGGATAACCCGCACAGAACTAAAACAGAAGCATTCACAGAAAACTCTTGGTGACGACTGAGTTTAACTCACAGAGCTGAACATTCCTTTGGATGGAGCAGTTTCGAAACACACTATTTGTAGAATGTGCAAGTGGATATTTGGGACTCTCTGAGGATTTCGTTGGAAACGGGATAAACCGCACAGAACTAAACAGAAGCATTCTCAGAAACTACTTTGTGATGATTGCATTCAAGTCACAGAGTTGAACATTCCCTTTGACAGAGCAGTTTGGAAACTCTCTTTGTGTAGAATCTGCAAGTGGAGATATGGACCGCTTTGAGGCCTATGGTAGTAAAGGAAATAGCTTCATATAAAAGCTAGACAGTAGCATTCTCAGAAACTTCTTTGTGATGCTTGCATTCAACTCACAGAGTTGAACTTTCCTTTCGAGAGAGAAGCTTTGAAACACTCTTTTTCCAGAATCTGCAAGTGGACATTTGGAGGGCTTTGAGGCCTGTGGTGGAAAAGGAATTATCTTCCCGTAAAAGCCTAGATAGAAGCATTGTCAGAAACTTCTTTGTGATGATTGCATTCAACTCACAGAGTTGAAGGTTCCTTTTCAAACAGCAGTTTCCAATCACTCTTTCTGTGGAATCTGCAAGTGGATATTTGGGCCTCTCTGAGGATTTCGTTGGAAACGGGATAAAACGCACAGAACTAAAACAGAAGCATTCTCAGAAACTTCTCTGTGATGTTTGTGTTCAACTCCCAGAGTTTCACGTTGCTTTTCATAGAGTAGTTCTGAAACATGCTTTTCGTAGTGTCTGCAAGTGGACATTTGGAGCGCTTTCAGGCCTGTGGTGGAAAACGAATTATGGTCACATAAAAACTGGAGAGAAGCCTTCTCAGAAACTTCTCTGTGATGATTGCATTCAACTCACAGAGTTGAACCCTCCTATGGATAGAGCAGTGTTGAAACTCTCTTTTTGTGGAATCTGCAAGTGGATATGTGGACCTCTCCGAAGATGTCTTTGGAAACGGGAATATCTTCACATAAAAACTAAACAGAAGCATTCTCAGAAACTTCTTGGTGATGTTTGCATTCAAATCCCAGAGTTGAACCTTCCTTTGATAGTTCAGGTTTGAAACACTCTTTTTGTAGGATCTGCAAGTGGCTATTTGGACCACTCTGTGGCCTTCGTTCGAAACGGGTATATCTTCGCATAAAATCTAGACAGAAGCATTCTCAGAAAACACTTTGTGATGATTGAGTTTAAATCACAGAGCTGAACATTCCTTTGGATGGAGCAGGTTTGAGACACACTTTTTGTAGAATCTACAAGTGGATATTTGGACCTCTCTGAGGATTTCGTTGGAAACGGGATAACTGCACCTAACTAAACGGAAGCATTCTCAGAAACTGCTTTGTGATGATTGCATTCACCTCACAGAGTTGAACATTCCTATTGATAGAGCAGTTTGGAAACACTCTTGTTGTGGAATGTGCAAGTGGAGATTTGGAGCGCTTTGAGGCCTATGGTAGTAAAGGGAATAGCTTCATAGAAAAACTAGACAGATGCATTCTCAGGAACCTTTTGGTGATGTTTGTATTCAACTCCCAGAGTTGAACTTTCCTTTGGAAAGAGCAGCTATGAAACACTCTTTTTCTAGAATCTGCAAGTGGACGTTTGGAGGGCTTTGTGGTTTGTGGTGGAAAAGGAAATATCTTCACCTAAATACTAGATAGAAGCATCCTCAGAAGCTTCTCTGTGATGACTGCATTCAACTCACGGAGTTGAACACTCCTTTTGAGAGCGCAGTTTTGAAACTCTCTTTCTGTGGCATCTGCAAGGGGACATGTAGACCTCTTTGAAGATTTCGTTGGAAACGGAATCATCTTCACATAAAAACTATACAGAAGCAGTCTCAGAATCTTCTTTGTGATGTTTGCATTCAAATCCCAGAGTTGAACTTTCCTTTCAAAGTTCACGTTTGAAACACTCTTTTTGCAGGATCTACAAGTGGATATTTGGACCACTCTGTGTCCTTCGTTCGAAACGGGTATATCTTCACAGGACATCTAGACAGAAGCTTTCTCAGAAAATTCTTTGGGATGATTGAGTGGAACTCACAGAGCTGAACATTCCTTGCGATGTAGCAGTTTAGAAACACACTTTCTGCAGAATCTGCAAGTGCATATTTGGACCTCTCTGAGGAATTCGTTGGAAACGGGATAATTTCAGCTGACTAAACAGAAGCATTCTCAGAACCTTCTTCGTGATGTCTGCATTCAACTCACAGTGTGGAACCTTTCTTTGATAGTTCAGGTTTGAAACACTCTTTTTGTAGAAACTGCAAGGGGATAATTGCACTTCTTTGAGGCCTACCGTAGTAAAGGAAATAACTTCCTATAGAAAGAAGACAGAAGAATTCTCAGAGCCCTCTTCGTGATGTTTGCATTCAACTCACAGTGCTGAACCTTTCTTTGATAGTGCAGCTTTGAAACACTCTTTTTGTAGAAACTGCAAGTGGATGTTTGGTCCTCTCTGAGGATTTCGTTGGAAACGGGATAAACCGCACAGAACTAAAACAGAAGCATTCTCAGAACCTTCTTCGTGATGTTTGCATTCAACTCACAGTGTTGAACCTTTCTTTGATAGTTCAGGTTTGAAACGGTCTTTCTGTAGAAACTGCAAGTAGATATTTGGACCTCTCTGAGGATTTCGTTGGAAACGGGATAACCCGCACAGAACTAAAACAGAAGCATTCACAGAAAACTCTTGGTGACGACTGAGTTTAACTCACAGAGCTGAACATTCCTTTGGATGGAGCAGTTTCGAAACACACTATTTCTAGAAGGTGCAAGTGGATATGTGGGCCTCTCTGAGGATTTCGTTGGAAACGGGATAAACCGCACAGAACTAAACAGAAGCATTCTCAGAAACTACTTTGTGATGATTGCATTCAAGTCACAGAGTTGAACATTCCCTTTGACAGAGCAGTTTGGAAACTCTCTTTGTGTAGAATCTGCAAGTGGAGATATGGACCGCTTTGAGGCCTATGGTAGTAAAGGAAATAGCTTCATATAAAAGCTAGACAGTAGCATTCTCAGAAACTTCTTTGTGATGCTTGCATTCAACTCACAGAGTTGAACTTTCCTTTCGAGAGAGAAGCTTTGAAACACTCTTTTTCCAGAATCTGCAAGTGGACATTTGGAGGGCTTTGAGGCCTGTGGTGGAAAAGGAATTAACTTCCCGTAAAAGCTAGATAGAAGCATTGTCAGAAACTTCTTTGTGATGATTGCATTCAACTCACAGAGTTGAAGGTTCCTTTTCAAACAGCAGTTTCCAATCACTCTTTCTGTGGAATCTGCAAGTGGATATTTGGGCCTCTCTGAGGATTTCGTTGGAAACGGGATAAAACGCACAGAACTAAAACAGAAGCATTCTCAGAAACTTCTCTGTGATGTTTGTGTTCAACTCCCAGAGTTTCACGTTGCTTTTCATAGAGTAGTTCTGAAACATGCTTTTCGTAGTGTCTGCAAGTGGACATTTGGAGCGCTTTCAGGCCTGTGGTGCAAAACGAATTATGGTCCCATAAAAACTGGAGAGAAGCCTTCTCAGAAACTTCTCTGTGATGATTGCATTCAACTCACAGATTTGAACCCTCCTATGGATAGAGCATTGTTGAAACTCTCTTTTTGTGGAATCTGCAAGTGGATATGTGGACCTCTCCGAAGATGTCTTTGGAAACGGGAATATCTTCACATAAAAACTAAACAGAAGCATTCTCAGAAACTTCTTGGTGATGTTTGCATTCAAATCCCAGAGTTGAACCTTCCTGTGATAGTTCAGGTTTGAAACACTCTTTTTGTAGGATCTGCAAGTGGATATTTGGACCACTCTGTGGCCTTCGTTCGAAACGGGTACATCTTCACATAAAATCTAGACAGAAGCATTCTCAGAAAATACTTTGTGATGATTGAGTTTAACTCACAGAGCTGAACATTCCTTTGGATGGAGCAGGTTTGAGACACACTTTTTGCAGAATCTACAAGTGGATATTTGGACCTCTCTGAGGATTTCGTTGGAAACGGGATAACTGCACCTAACTAAGCGGAAGCATTCTCAGAAACTGCTTTGTGATGATTGCATTCACCTCACAGAGTTGAACATTCCTATTGATAGAGCAGTTTGGAAACACTCTTGTTGTGGAATGTGCAAGTGGAGATTTGGAGCGCTTTGAGGCCTGTGGTAGTAAAGGGAATAGCTTCATAGAAAAACTAGACAGATGCATTCTCAGGAACTTTTTGGTGATGTTTGTATTCAACTCCCAGAGTTGAACTTTCCTTTGGAAAGAGCAGCTATGAAACACTCTTTTTCTAGAATCTGCAAGTGGACGTTTGGAGGGCTTTGTGGTTTGTGGTGGAAAAGGAAATATCTTCACCTAAATACTAGATAGAAGCATTCTCAGAAGCTTCTCTGTGATGACTGCATTCAACTCACGGAGTTGAACACTCCTTTTGAGAGCGCAGTTTTGAAACTCTCTTTCTGTGGCATCTGCAAGGGGACATGTAGACCTCTTTGAAGATTTCGTTGGAAACGGAATCATCTTCACATAAAAACTATACAGAAGCAGTCTCAGAATCTTCTTTGTGATGTTTGCATTCAAATCCCAGAGTTGAACTTGCCTTTCAAAGTTCACGTTTGAAACACTCTTTTTGCAGGATCTACAAGTGGATATTTGGACCACTCTGTGTCCTTCGTTCGAAACGGGTATATCTTCACATGACATCTAGACAGAAGCTTTCTCAGAAAATTCTTTGGGATGATTGAGTTGAGCAAACAGAGCTGAACACTCCTTGCGATGTAGCAGTTTAGAAACACCCTTTCTGCAGAATCTGCAAGTGCATATGTGGACCTCTCTGAGGAATTCGTTGGAAACGGGATAATTTCAGCTGACTAAACAGAAGCATTCTCAGAACCTTCTTCGTGATGTCTGCATTCAACTCACAGTGTGGAACCTTTCTTTGATAGTTCAGGTTTGAAACACTCTTTTTGTAGAAACTGCAAGGGGATCATTGCACTTCTTTGAGGCCTACCGTAGTAAAGGAAATAACTTCCTATAAAAAGAAGACAGAAGAATTCTCAGAGCCCTCTTCGTGATGTTTGCATTCAACTCACAGTGCTGAACCTTTCTTTGATAGTGCAGCTTTGAAACACTCTTTTTGTAGAAACTGCAAGTGGATATTTGGTCCTCTCTGAGGATTTCGCTGGAAACGGGATAAACCGCACAGAACTAAAACAGAAGCATTCTCAGAACCTTCTTCGTGATGTTTGTATTCAACACACAGTGTTGAACCTTTCTTTGATAATTCAGGTTTGAAACGGTCTTTCTGTAGAAACTGCAAGTAGATATTTGGACCTCTCTGAGGATTTCGTTGGAAACGGGATAAACCGCACAGAACTAAAACAGAAGCATTCACAGAAAACTCTTGGTGACGACTGAGTTTAACTCACAGAGCTGAACATTCCTTTGGATGGAGCAGTTTCGAAACACACTATTTGTAGAATGTGCAAGTGGATATTTAGGCCTCTCTGAGGATTTCGTTGGAAACGGGATAAACCGCACAGAACTAAACAGAAGCATTCTCAGAAACTACTTTGTGATGATTGCATTCAAGTCACAGAGTTGAACATTCCCTTTGACAGAGCAGATTGGAAACTCTCTTTGTGTAGAATCTGCAAGTGGAGATATGGACCGCTTTGAGGCCTATGGTAGTAAAGGAAATAGCTTCATATAAAAGCTAGACAGTAGCATTCTCAGAAACTTCTTTGTGATGCTTGCATTCAACTCACAGAGTTGAACTTTCCTTTCGAGAGAGAAGCTTTGAAACACTCTTTTTCCAGAATCTGCAAGTGGACATTTGGAGGGCTTTGAGGCCTGTGGTGGAAAAGGAATTATCTTCCCGTAAAAGCTAGATAGAAGCATTGTCAGAAACTTCTTTGTGATGATTGCATTCAACTCACAGAGTTGAAGGTTCCTTTTCAAACAGCAGTTTCCAATCACTCTTTCTGTGGAATCTGCAGGTGGATATTTGGACCGCTTTGAAGATTTCGTTGGAAACGGGAGAATCTTCACAGAAAAGCTAAACAGAAGCATTCTCAGAAACTTCTCTGTGATGTTTGTGTTCAACTCCCAGAGTTTCACATTGCTTTTCATAGAGTAGTTCTGAAACATGCTTTTCGTAGTGTCTGCAAGTGGACATTTGGAGAGCTTTCAGGCCTGTGGTGGAAAACGAATTATGGTCACATAAAAACTGGAGAGAAGCCTTCTCAGAAACTTCTCTGTGATGATTGCATTCAACTCACAGAGTTGAACCCTCCTATGGATAGAGCAGTGTTGAAACTCTCTTTTTGTGGAATCTGCAAGTGGATATGTGGACCTCTCCGAAGATGTCTTTGGAAATGGGAAAATCTTCACATAAAAGCTAATCAGAAGCATTCTCAGAAACTTCTTGGTGATGTTTGCATTCAAATCCCAGAGTTGAACCTTCCTTTGATAGTTCAGGTTTGAAACACTCTTTTTGTAGGATCTGCAAGTGGATATTTGGACCACTCTGTGGCCTTCGTTCGAAACGGGTACATCTTCGCATAAAATCTAGACAGAAGCATTCTCAGAAAATACTTTGTGATGATTGAGTTTAACTCACAGAGCTGAACATTCCTTTGGATGGAGCAGGCTTGAGACACACTTTTTGTAGAATCTACAAGTGGATATTTGGACCTCTCTGAGGATTTCGTTGGAAACGGGATAACTGCACCTAACTAAACGTAAGCATTCTCAGAAACTGCTTTGTGATGATTGCATTCACCTCACAGAGTTGACCATTCCTATTGATAGAGCAGTTTGGAAACACTCTTGTTGTGGAATGTGCAAGTGGAGATTTGGAGCGCTTTGAGGCCTATGGTAGTAAAGGGAATAGCTTCATAGAAAAACTAGACAGATGCATTCTCAGGAACTTTTTGGTGATGTTTGTATTCAACTCCCAGAGTTGAACTTTCCTTTGGAAAGAGCAGCTATGAAACACTCTTTTTCTAGAATCTGCAAGTGGACGTTTGGAGGGCTTTGTGGTTTGTGGTGGAAAAGGAAATATCTTCACCTAAATACTAGATAGAAGCATTCTCAGAAGCTTCTCTGTGATGACTGCATTCAACTCACGGAGTTCAACACTCCTTTTGAGAGCGCAGTTTTGAAACTCTCTTTCTGTGGCATCTGCAAGGGGACATGTAGACCTCTTTGAAGATTTTGTTGGAAACGGAATCATCTTCACATAAAAACTATACAGAAGCAGTCTCAGAATCTTCTTTGTGATGTTTGCATTCAAATCCCAGAGTTGAACTTTCCTTTCAAAGTTCACGTTTGAAACACTCTTTTTGCAGGATCTACAAGTGGATATTTGGACCACTCTGTGTCCTTCGTTCGAAACGGGTATATCTTCACATGACATCTAGACAGAAGCTTTCTCAGAAAATTCTTTGGGATGATTGAGTTGAAGTCACAGAGCTGAACATTCCTTGTGATGTAGCAGTTTAGAAACACACTTTCTGCAGAATCTGCAAGTGCATATTTGGACCTCTCTGAGGAATTCGTTGGAAACGGGATAATTTCAGCTGACTAAACAGAAGCATTCTCAGAGCCTTCTTCGAGATGTCTGCATTCAACTCACAGTGTGGAACCTTTCTTTGATAGTTCAGGTTTGAAACACTCTTTTTGTAGAAACTGCAAGGGGATAATTGCACTTCTTTGAGGCCTACCGTAGCAAAAGAAATAACTTCCTATAAAAAGAAGACAGAAGCATTCTCAGAACCCTCTTCGTGATGTTTGCATTCAACTCACAGTGCTGAATCTTTCTTTGATAGTTCAGCTATGAAACACTCTTTTTGTAGAAACTGCAAGTGGATATTTGGTCCTCTCTGAGCATTTCGTTGGAAACGGGATAAACTGCACAGAACTAAACAGAAGCATTCTCAGAACCCTCTTCGTGATGTTTGCATTGAACTCACGGTGCTGAACCTTTCTTTGATAGTTCAGCTTTGAAACACTCTTTTTGTAGAAACTGCAAGTGGATATTTGGTCCTCTCTGAGGATTTCGTTGGAAACGGGATAAACCGCACAGAACTAAACAGAAGCATTCACAGAAAACTCTTGGTGACGACTGAGTTTAACTCACAGAGCTGAACATTCCTTTGGATGGAGCAGTTTCGAAACACACTATTTGTAGAATGTGCAAGTGGATATGTGGGCCTCTCTGAGGATTTCGTTGGAAACGGGATAAACCGCACAGAACTAAAACAGAAGCATTCTCAGAAACTACTTTGTGATGATTGCATTCAAGTCACAGAGTTGAACATTCCCTTTGACAGAGCAGTTTGGAAACTCTTTGTGTAGAATCTGCAAGTGGAGATATGGACCGCTTTGAGGCCTATGGTAGTAAAGGAAATAGCTTCATATAAAAGCTAGACAGTAGCATTCTCAGAAACTTCTTTGTGATGCTTGCATTCAACTCACAGAGTTGAACTTTCCTTTCGAGAGAGAAGCTTTGAAACACTCTTTTTCCAGAATCTGCAAGTGGACATTTGGAGGGCTTTGAGGCCTGTGGTGGAAAAGGAATTATCTTCCCGTAAAAGCCTAGATAGAAGCATTGTCAGAAACTTCTTTGTGATGATTGCATTCAACTCACAGAGTTGAAGGTTCCTTTTCAAACAGCAGTTTCCAATCACTCTTTCTGTGGAATCTGCAAGTGGATATTTGGGCCTCTCTGAGGATTTCGTTGGAAACGGGATAAACCGCACAGAACTAAAACAGAAGCATTCTCAGAAACTTCTCTGTGATGTTTGTGTTCAACTCCCAGAGTTTCACATTGCTTCTCATAGAGTAGTTCCGAAACATGCTTTTCGTAGTGTCTGCAAGTGGACATTTGGAGCGCTTTCAGGCCTGTGGTGGAAAACGAATTATGGTCACATAAAAACTGGAGAGAAGCCTTCTCAGAAACTTCTCTGTGATGATTGCATTCAACTCACAGAGTTGAACCCTCCTATGGATAGAGCAGTGTTGAAACTCTCTTTTTGTGGAATCTGCAAGTGGATATGTGGACCTCTCCGAAGATGTCTTTGGAAACGGGAATATCTTCACATAAAAACTAAACAGAAGCATTCTCAGAAACTTCTTGGTGATGTTTACATTCAAATCCCAGAGTTGAAGCTTCCTTTGATAGTTCAGGTTTGAAACACTCTTTTTGTAGGATCTGCAAGTGGATATTTGGACCACTCTGTGGCCTTCGTTCGAAACGGGTACATCTTCGCATAAAATCTAGACAGAAGCATTCTCAGAAAATACTTTGTGATGATTGAGTTTAAATCACAGAGCTGACCATTCCTTTGGATGGAGCAGGTTTGAGACACACTTTTTGTAGAATCTACAAGTGGATATTTGGACCTCTCTGAGGATTTCGTTGGAAACGGGATAACTGCACCTAACTAAACGGAAGCATTCTCAGAAACTGCTTTGTGATGATTGCATTCACCTCACAGAGTTGAACATTCCTATTGATAGAGCAGTTTGGAAACACTCTTGTTGTGGAATGTGCAAGTGGAGATTTGGAGCGCTTTGAGGCCTATGGTAGTAAAGGGAATAGCTTCATAGAAAAACTAGACAGATGCATTCTCAGGAACTTTTTGGTGATGTTTGTATTCAACTCCCAGAGTTGAACTTTCCTTTGGAAAGAGCAGCTATGAAACACTCTTTTTCTAGAATCTGCAAGTGGACGTTTGGAGGGCTTTGTGGTTTGTGGTGGAAAAGGAAATATCTTCACCTAAATACTAGATAGAAGCATTCTCAGAAGCTTCTCTGTGATGACTGCATTCAACTCACGGAGTTGAACACTCCTTTTGAGAGCGCAGTTTTGAAACTCTCTTTCTGTGGCATCTGCAAGGGGACATGTAGACCTCTTTGAAGATTTCGTTGGAAACGGAATCATCTTCACATAAAAACTATACAGAAGCAGTCCCAGAATCTTCTTTGTGATGTTTGCATTCAAATCCCAGGGTTGAACTTTCCTTTCCAAGTTCACGTTTGAAACACTCTTTTTGCAGGATCTACAAGTCGATATTTGGACCACTCTGCGTCCTTCGTTCGAAACGGGTATATCTTCACATGACATCTAGACTGAAGCTTTCTCAGAAAATTCTTTGGGATGATTGAGTTGAGCAAACAGAGCTGAACACTCCTTGTGATGTAGCAGTTTAGAAACACACTTTCTGCAGAATCTGCAAGTGCATATGTGGACCTCTCTGAGGAATTCGTTGGAAATAGGATAATTTCAGCTGACTAAACAGAAGCATTCTCAGAACCTTCTTCGTGATGTCTGCATTCAACTCACAGTGTGGAACCTGTCTTTGATAGTTCAGGTTTGAAACACTCTTTTTGTAGAAACTGCAAGGGGATCATTGCACTTCTTTGAGGCCTACCGTAGTAAAGGAGATAACTTCCTATAAAAAGAAGACAGAAGAATTCTCAGAGCCCTCTTCGTGATGTTTGCATTCAACTCACAGTGCTGAACCTTTCTTTGATAGTGCAGCTTTGAAACACTCTTTTTGTAGAAACTGCAAGTGGATGTTTGGTCCTCTCTGAGGATTTCGTTGGAAACGGGATAAACCGCACAGAACTAAAACAGAAGCATTCTCAGAACCTTCTTCGTGATGTTTGCATTCAACTCACAGTGTTGAACCTTTCTTTGATAGTTCAGGTTTGAAACGGTCTTTCTGTAGAAACTGCAAGTAGATATTTGGACCTCTCTGAGGATTTCGTTGGAAACGGGATAAACCGCACAGAACTAAAACAGAAGCATTCACAGAAAACTCTTGGTGACGACTGAGTTTAACTCACAGAGCTGAACATTCCTTTGGATGGAGCAGTTTCGAAACACACTATTTGTAGAATGTGCAAGTGGATATTTAGGCCTCTCTGAGGATTTCGTTGGAAACGGGATAAACCGCACAGAACTAAACAGAAGCATTCTCAGAAACTACTTTGTGATGATTGCATTCAAGTCACAGAGTTGAACATTCCCTTTGACAGAGCAGTTTGGAAACTCTCTTTGTGTAGAATCTGCAAGTGGAGATATGGACCGCTTTGAGGCCTATGGTAGTAAAGGAAATAGCTTCATATAAAAGCTAGACAGTAGCATTCTCAGAAACTTCTTTGTGATGCTTGCATTCAACTCACAGAGTTGAACTTTCCTTTCGAGAGAGAAGCTTTGAAACACTCTTTTTCCAGAATCTGCAAGTGGACATTTGGAGGGCTTTGAGGCCTGTGGTGGAAAAGGAATTATCTTCCCGTAAAAGCTAGATAGAAGCATTGTCAGAAACTTCTTTGTGATGATTGCATTCAACTCACAGAGTTGAAGGTTCCTTTTCAAACAGCAGTTTCCAATCACTCTTTCTGTGGAATCTGCAAGTGGATATTTGGGCCTCTCTGAGGATTTCGTTGGAAACGGGATAAAACGCACAGAACTAAAACAGAAGCATTCTCAGAAACTTCTCTGTGATGTTTGTGTTCAACTCCCAGAGTTTCACATTGCTTTTCATAGAGTAGTTCTGAAACATGCTTTTCGTAGTGTCTACAAGTGGACATTTGGAGCGCTTTCAGGCCTGTGGTGGAAAACGAATTATGGTCACATAAAAACTGGAGAGAAGCCTTCTCAGAAACTTCTCTGTGATGATTGCATTCAACTCACAGAGTTGAACCCTCCTATGGATAGAGCAGTGTTGAAACTCTCTTTTTGTGGAATCTGCAAGTGGATATGTGGACCTCTCCGAAGATGTCTTTGGAAACGGGAATATCTTCACATAAAAACTAAACAGAAGCATTCTCAGAAACTTCTTGGTGATCTTTGCATTCAAATCCCAGAGTTGAACCTTCCTTTGATAGTTCAGGTTTGAAACACTCTTTTTGTAGGATCTGCAAGTGGATATTTGGACCACTCTGTGGCCTTCGTTCGAAACGGGTACATCTTCACATAAAATCTAGACAGAAGCATTCTCAGAAAATACTTTGTGATGATTGAGTTTAACTCACAGAGCTGAACATTCCTTTGGATGGAGCAGGTTTGAGACACACTTTTTGTAGAAACTACAAGTGGATATTTGGACCTCTCTGAGGATTTCGTTGGAAACGCGATAACTGCACCTAACTAAACGGAAGCATTCTCAGAAACTGCTTTGTGATGATTGCATTCACCTCACAGAGTTGAACATTCCTATTGATAGAGCAGTTTGGAAACACTCTTGTTGTGGAATGTGCAAGTGGAGATTTGGAGCGCTTTGAGGCCTATGGTAGTAAAGGGAATAGCTTCATAGAAAAACTAGACAGATGCATTCTCAGGAACTTTTTGGTGATGTTTGTATTCAACTCCCAGAGTTCAACTTTCCTTTGGAAAGAGCAGCTATGAAACACTCTTTTTCTAGAATCTGCAAGTGGACGTTTGGAGGGCTTTGCGGTTTGTGGTGGAAAAGGAAATATCTTCACCTAAATACTAGATAGAAGCATCCTCAGAAGCTTCTCTGTGATGACTGCATTCAACTCACGGAGTTGAACACTCCTTTTGAGAGCGCAGTTTTGAAACTCTCTTTCTGTGGCATCTGCAAGGGGACATGTAGACCTCTTTGAAGATTTCGTTGGAAACGGAATCATCTTCACATAAAAACTACACAGAAGCAGTCTCAGAATCTTCTTTGTGATGTTTGCATTCAAATCCCAGAGTTGAACTTTCCTTTCAAAGTTCACGTTTGAAACACTCTTTTTGCAGGATCTACAAGTGGATATTTGGACCACTCTGTGTCCTTCGTTCGAAACGGGTATATCTTCACACGACATCTAGACAGAAGCTTTCTCAGAAAATTCTTTGGGATGATTGAGTGGAACTCACAGAGCTGAACATTCCTTGCGATGTAGCAGTTTAGAAACACACTTTCTGCAGAATCTGCAAGTGCATATTTGGACCTCTCTGAGGAATTCGTTGGAAACGGGATAATTTCAGCTGACTAAACAGAAGCATTCTCAGAACCTTCTTCGTGATGTCTGCATTCAACTCACAGTGTGGAACCTTTCTTTGATAGTTCAGCTTTGAAACACTCTTTTTGTAGAAACTGCAAGGGGATAATTGCACTTCTTTGAGGCCTACCGTAGTAAAGGAAATAACTTCCTATTAAAAGAAGACAGAAGAATTCTCAGAGCCCTCTTCGTGATGTTTGCATTCAACTCACAGTGCTGAACCTTTCTTTGATAGTGCAGCTTTGAAACACTCTTTTTGTAGAAACTGCAAGTGGATGTTTGGTCCTCTCTGAGGATTTCGTTGGAAACGGGATAAACCGCACAGAACTAAAACAGAAGCATTCTCAGAACCTTCTTCGTGATGTTTGCATTCAACTCACAGTGTTGAACCTTTCTTTGATAGTTCAGGTTTGAAACGGTCTTTCTGTAGAAACTGCAAGTAGATATTTGGACCTCTCTGAGGATTTCGTTGGAAAAGGGATAACCCGCACAGAACTAAAACAGAAGCATTCACAGAAAACTCTTGGTGACGACTGAGTTTAACTCACAGAGCTGAACATTCCTTTGGATGGAGCAGTTTCGAAACACACTATTTGTAGAATGTGCAAGTGGATATTTAGGCCTCTCTGAGGATTTCGTTGGAAACGGGATAAACCGCACAGAACTAAACAGAAGCATTCTCAGAAACTACTTTGTGATGATTGCATTCAAGTCACAGAGTTGAACATTCCCTTTGACAGAGCAGTTTGGAAACTCTCTTTGTGTAGAATCTGCAAGTGGAGATATGGACCGCTTTGAGGCCTATGGTAGTAAAGGAAATAGCTTCATATAAAAGCTAGACAGTAGCATTCTCAGAAACTTCTTTGTGATGCTTGCATTCAACTCACAGAGTTGAACTTTCCTTTCGAGAGAGAAGCTTTGAAACACTCTTTTTCCAGAATCTGCAAGTGGACATTTGGAGGGCTTTGAGGCCTGTGGTGGAAAAGGAATTATCTTCCCGTAAAAGCTAGATAGAAGCATTGTCAGAAACTTCTTTGTGATGATTGCATTCAACTCACAGAGATGAAGGTTCCTTTACAAACAGCAGTTTCCAAACACTCTTTCTGTGGAATCTGCAAGTGGATATTTGGACCTCTTTGAAGATTTCGTTGGAAACGGGAGAATCTTCACAGAAAAGCTAAACAGAAGCATTCTCAGAAACTTCTCTGTGATGTTTGTGTTCAACTCCCAGAGTTTCACATTGCTTTTCATAGAGTAGTTCTGAAACATGCTTTTCGTAGTGTCTGCAAGTGGACATTTGGAGCGCTTTCAGGCCTGTGGTGGAAAACGAATTATGGTCCCATAAAAACTGGAGAGAAGCCTTCTCAGAAACTTCTCTGTGATGATTGCATTCAACTCACAGATTTGAACCCTCCTATGGATAGAGCATTGTTGAAACTCTCTTTTTGTGGAATCTGCAAGTGGATATGTGGACCTCTCCGAAGATGTCTTTGGAAACGGGAATATCTTCACATAAAAACTAAACAGAAGCATTCTCAGAAACTTCTTGGTGATGTTTGCATTCAAATCCCAGAGTTGAACCTTCCTGTGATAGTTCAGGTTTGAAACACTCTTTTTGTAGGATCTGCAAGTGGATATTTGGACCACTCTGTGGCCTTCGTTCGAAACGGGTACATCTTCACATAAAATCTAGACAGAAGCATTCTCAGAAAATACTTTGTGATGATTGAGTTTAACTCACAGAGCTGAACATTCCTTTGGATGGAGCAGGTTTGAGACACACTTTTTGTAGAATCTACAAGTGGATATTTGGACCTCTCTGAGGATTTCGTTGGAAACGCGATAACTGCACCTAACTAAACGGAAGCATTCTCAGAAACTGCTTTGTGATGATTGCATTCACCTCACAGAGTTGAACATTCCTATTGATAGAGCAGTTTGGAAACACTCTTGTTGTGGAATGTGCAAGTGGAGATTTGGAGCGCTTTGAGGCCTATGGTAGTAAAGGGAATAGCTTCATAGAAAAACTAGACAGATGCATTCTCAGGAACCTTTTGGTGATGTTTGTATTCAACTCCCAGAGTTGAACTTTCCTTTGGAAAGAGCAGCTATGAAACACTCTTTTTCTAGAATCTGCAAGTGGACGTTTGGAGGGCTTTGTGGTTTGTGGTGGAAAAGGAAATATCTTCACCTAAATACTAGATAGAAGCACTCTCAGAAGCTTCTCTGTGATGACTGCATTCAACTCACGGAGTTGAACACTCCTTTTGAGAGCGCAGTTTTGAAACTCTCTTTCTGTGGCATCTGCAAGGGGACATGTAGACCTCTTTGAAGATTTCGTTGGAAACGGAATCATCTTCACATAAAAACTATACAGAAGCAGTCTCAGAATCTTCTTTGTGATGTTTGCATTCAAATCCCCGAGTTGAACTTTCCTTTCAAAGTTCACGTTTGAAACACTCTTTTTGCAGGATCTACAAGTGGATATTTGGACCACTCTGTGTCCTTCGTTCGAAACGGGTATATCTTCACATGACATCTAGACAGAAGCTTTCTCAGAAAATTCTTTGGGATGATTGAGTTGAACTCACAGAGCTGAGCATTCCTTGCGATGTAGCAGTTTAGAAACACACTTTCTGCAGAATCTGCAAGTGCATATTTGGACCTCTGTGAGGAATTCGTTGGAAACGGGATAATTTCAGCTGACTAAACAGAAGCATTCTCAGAACCTTCTTCGTGATGTCTGCATTCAACTCACAGTGTGGAACCTTTCTTTGATAGTTCAGGTTTGAAACACTCTTTTTGTAGAAACTGCAAGGGGATAATTGCACTTCTTTGAGGCCTACCGTAGTAAAGGAAATAACTTCCTATAGAAAGAAGACAGAAGCATTCTCAGAACCCTCTTCGTGATGTTTGCATTCAACTCACAGTGCTGAACCTTTCTTTGATAGTTCAGCTTTGAAACACTCTTTTTGTAGAAACTGCAAGTGGATATTTGGTCCTCTCTGAGCATTTCGTTGGAAACGGGATAAACTGCACAGAACTAAACAGAAGCATTCTCAGAACCTTCTTCGTGATGTTTGCATTCAACTCACAGTGTTGAACCTTTCTTTGATAGCTCAGGTTTGAAACGGTCTTTCTGTAGAAACTGCAAGTAGATATTTGGACCTCTCTGAGGATTTCGTTGGAAACGGGATAACCCGCACAGAACTAAAACAGAAGCATTCACAGAAAACTCTTGGTGACGACTGAGTTTAACTCACAGAGCTGAACATTCCTTTGGATGGAGCAGTTTCGAAACACACTATTTGTAGAATGTGCAAGTGGATATTTGGGCCTCTCTGAGGATTTCGTTGGAAACGGGATAAACCGCACAGAACTAAACAGAAGCATTCTCAGAAACTACTTTGTGATGATTGCATTCAAGTCACAGAGTTGAACATTCCCTTTGACAGAGCAGTTTGGAAACTCTCTTTGTGTAGAATCTGCAAGTGGAGATATGGACCGCTTTGAGGCCTATGGTAGTAAAGGAAATAGCTTCATATAAAAGCTAGACAGTAACATTCTCAGAAACTTCTTTGTGATGCTTGCATTCAAGTCACAGAGTTGAACTTTCCTTTCGAGAGAGAAGCTTTGAAACACTCTTTTTCCAGAATCTGCAAGTGGACATTTGGAGGGCTTTGAGGCCTGTGGTGGAAAAGGAATTAACTTCCCGTAAAAGCTAGATAGAAGCATTGTCAGAAACTTCTTTGTGATGATTGCATTCAACTCACAGAGTTGAAGGTTCCTTTTCAAAGAGCAGTTTCCAATCACTCTTTCTGTGGAATCTGCAAGTGGATATTTGGACCTATTTTGAAGATTTCGTTGGAAACGGGAGAATCTTCACAGGAAAGCTAAACAGAAGCATTCTCAGAAACTTCTCTGTGATGTTTGTGTTCAACTCCCAGAGTTTCACATTGCTTTTCATAGAGTAGTTCTGAAACATGCTTTTCGTAGTGTCTACAAGTGGACATTTGGAGCGCTTTCAGGCCTGTGGTGGAAAACGAATTATGGTCACATAAAAACTGGAGAGAAGCCTTCTCAGAAACTTCTCTGTGATGATTGCATTCAACTCACAGAGTTGAACCCTCCTATGGATAGAGCAGTGTTGAAACTCTCTTTTTGTGGAATCTGCAAGTGGATACGTGGACCTCTCCGAAGATGTCTTTGGAAACGGGAATATCTTCACATAAAAACTAAACAGAAGCATTCTCAGAAACTTCTTGGTGATGTTTGCATTCAAATCCCAGAGTTGAACCTTCCTTTGATAGTTCAGGTTTGAAACACTCTTTCTGTAGGATCTGCAAGTGGCTATTTGGACCACTCTGTGGCCTTCGTTCGAAACGGGTATATCTTCGCATAAAATCTAGACAGAAGCATTCTCAGAAAATACTTTGTGATGATTGAGTTTAAATCACAGAGCTGACCATTCCTTTGGATGGAGCAGGTTTGAGACACACTTTTTGTAGAATCTACAAGTGGATATTTGGACCTCTCTGAGGATTTCGTTGGAAACGGGATAACTGCACCTAACTAAACGGAAGCATTCTCAGAAACTGCTTTGTGATGATTGCATTCACCTCACAGAGTTGAACATTCCTATTGATAGAGCAGTTTGGAAACACTCTTGTTGTGGAATGTGCAAGTGGAGATTTGGAGCGCTTTGAGGCCTATGGTAGTAAAGGGAATAGCTTCATAGAAAAACTAGACAGATGCATTCTCAGGAACTTTTTGGTGATGTTTGTATTCAACTCCCAGAGTTGAACTTTCCTTTGGAAAGAGCAGCTATGAAACACTGTTTTTCTAGAATCTGCAAGTGGACGTTTGGAGGGCTTTGTGGTTTGTGGTGGAAAAGGAAATATCTTCACCTAAATACTAGATAGAAGCATTCTCAGAAGCTTCTCTGTGATGACTGCATTCAACTCACGGAGTTGAACACTCCTTTTGAGAGCGCAGTTTTGAAACTCTCTTTCTGTGGCATCTGCAAGGGGACATGTAGACCTCTTTGAAGATTTCGTTGGAAACGGAATCATCTTCACATAAAAACTATACAGAAGCAGTCTCAGAATCTTCTTTGTGATGTTTGCATTCAAATCCCAGAGTTGAACTTTCCTTTCCAAGTTCACGTTTGAAACACTCTTTTTGCAGGATCTACAAGTGGATATTTGGACCACTCTGTGTCCTTCGTTCGAAACGGGTATATCTTCACATGACATCTAGACAGAAGCTTTCTCAGAAAATTCTTTGGGATGATTGAGTGGAACTCACAGAGCTGAACATTCCTTGCGATGGAGCAGTTTAGAAACACACTTTCTGCAGAATCTGCAAGTGCATATTTGGACCTCTCTGAGGAATTCGTTGGAAACGGGATAATTTCAGCTGACTAAACAGAAGCATTCTCAGAACCTTCTTCGTGATGTCTGCATTCAACTCACAGTGTGGAACCTTTCTTTGATAGTTCAGGTTTGAAACACTCTTTTTGTAGAAACTGCAAGGGGATAATTGCACTCTTTGAGGAGTACCGTAGTAAAGGAAATAACTTCCTATAAAAAGAAGACAGAAGCATTCTCAGAACCCTCTTCGTGATGTTTGCATTCAACTCACAGTGCTGAACCTTTCTTTGATAGTTCAGCTTTGAAACACTCTTTTTGTAGAAACTGCAAGTGGATATTTGGTCCTCTCTGAGCATTTCGTTGGAAACGGGATAAACTGCACAGAACTAAACAGAAGCATTCTCAGAACCTTCTTCGTGATGTTTGCATTCAACTCACAGTGTTGAACCTTTCTTTGATAGTTCAGGTTTCAAACGGTCTTTCTGTAGAAACTGCAAGTAGATATTTGGACCTCTCTGAGGATTTCGTTGGAAACGGGATAACCCGCACAGAACTAAAACAGAAGCATTCACAGAAAACTCTTGGTGACGACTGAGTTTAACTCACAGAGCTGAACATTCCTTTGGATGGAGCAGTTTCGAAACACACTATTTGTAGAATGTGCAAGTGGATATTTAGGCCTCTCTGAGGATTTCGTTGGAAACGGGATAAACCGCACAGAACTAAACAGAAGCATTCTCAGAAACTACTTTGTGATGATTGCATTCAAGTCACAGAGTTGAACATTCCCTTTGACAGAGCAGTTTGGAAACTCTCTTTGTGTAGAATCTGCAAGTGGAGATATGGACCGCTTTGAGGCCTATGGTAGTAAAGGAAATAGCTTCATATAAAAGCTAGACAGTAGCATTCTCAGAAACTTCTTTGTGATGCTTGTATTCAACTCACAGAGTTGAACTTTCCTTTCGAGAGAGAAGCTTTGAAACACTCTTTTTCCAGAATGTGCAAGTGGATATTTGGAGGGCTTTGAGGCCTGTGGTGGATAAGGAATTATCTTCCCGTAAAAGCTAGATGGAAGCATTGTCAGAAACTTCTTTGTGATGATTGCATTCAACTCACAGAGTTGAAGGTTCCTTTTCAAACAGCAGTTTCCAATCACTCTTTCTGTGGAATCTGCAAGTGGATATTTGGACCTATTTTGAAGATTGCGTTGGAAACGGGATAATCTTCACAGAAAAGGTAAACAGAAGCATTCTCAGAAACTTCTCTGTGATGTTTGTGTTCAACTCCCAGAGTTTCACATTGCTTTTCATAGAGTAGTTCTGAAACATGCTTTTCGTAGTGTCTGCAAGTGGACATTTGGAGCGCTTTCAGGCCTGTGGTGGAAAACGAATTATGGTCACATAAAAACTGGAGAGAAGCCTTCTCAGAAACTTCTCTGTGATGATTGCATTCAACTCACAGAGTTGAACCCTCCTATGGATAGAGCAGTGTTGAAACTCTCTTTTTGTGGAATCTGCAAGTGGATATGTGGACCTCTCCGAAGATGTCTTTGGAAACGGGAATATCTTCACATAAAAACTAAACAGAAGCATTCTCAGAAACTTCTTGGTGATGTTTGCATTCAAATCCCAGAGTTGAACCTTCCTTTGATAGTTCAGGTTTGAAACACTCTTTTTGTAGGATCTGCAAGTGGATATTTGGACCACTCTGTGGCCTTCGTTCGAAACGGGTATATCTTCGCATAAAATCTAGACAGAAGCATTCTCAGAAAATACTTTGTGATGATTGAGTTTAACTCACAGAGCTGAACATTCCTTTGGATGGAGCAGGTTTGAGACACACTTTTTGTAGAATCTACAAGTGGATATTTGGACCTCTCTGAAGATTTCGTTGGAAACGGGATAACTGCACCTAACTAAACGGAAGCATTCTCAGAAACTGCTTTGTGATGATTGCATTCACCTCACAGAGTTGAACATTCCTATTGATAGAGCAGTTTGGAAACACTCTTGTTGTGGAATGTGCAAGTGGAGATTTGGAGCGCTTTGAGGCCTATGGTAGTAAAGGGAATAGCTTCATAGAAAAACTAGACAGATGCATTCTCAGGAACTTTTTGGTGATGTTTGTATTCAACTCCCAGAGTTGAACTTTCCTTTGGAAAGAGCAGCTATGAAACACTCTTTTTCTAGAATCTGCAAGTGGACGTTTGGAGGGCTTTGTGGTTTGTGGTGGAAAAGGAAATATCTTCACCTAAATACTAGATAGAAGCATCCTCAGAAGCTTCTCTGTGATGACTGCATTCAACTCACGGAGTTGAACACTCCTTTTGAGAGCGCAGTTTTGAAACTCTCTTTCTGTGGCATCTGCAAGGGGACATGTAGACCTCTTTGAAGATTTCGTTGGAAACGGAATCATCTTCACATAAAAACTACACAGAAGCAGTCTCAGAATCTTCTTTGTGATGTTTGCATTCAAATCCCAGAGTTGAACTTTCCTTTCAAAGTTCACGTTTGAAACACTCTTTTTGCAGGATCTACAAGTGGATATTTGGACCACTCTGTGTCCTTCGTTCGAAACGGGTATAACTTCACACGACATCTAGACAGAAGCTTTCTCAGAAAATTCTTTGGGATGATTGAGTGGAACTCACAGAGCTGAACATTCCTTGCGATGTAGCAGTTTAGAAACACACTTTCTGCAGAATCTGCAAGTGCATATTTGGACCTCTCTGAGGAATTCGTTGGAAACGGGATAATTTCAGCTGACTAAACAGAAGCATTCTCAGAACCTTCTTCGTGATGTCTGCATTCAACTCACAGTGTGGAACCTTTCTTTGATAGTTCAGGTTTGAAACACTCTTTTTGTAGAAACTGCAAGGGGATAATTGCACTTCTTTGAGGCCTACCGTAGTAAAGGAAATAACTTCCTATAGAAAGAAGACAGAAGCATTCTCAGAACCCTCTTCGTGATGTTTGCATTCAACTCACGGTGCTGAACCTTTCTTTGATAGTTCAGCTTTGAAACACTCTTTTTGTAGAAACTGCAAGTGGATATTTGGTCCTCTCTGAGGATTTCGTTGGAAACGGGATAAACCGCACAGAACTAAACAGAAGCATTCTCAGAACCTTCTTCGTGATGTTTGCATTCAACTCACAGTGTTGAACCTTTCTTTGATAGTTCAGGTTTGAAACGGTCTTTCTGTAGAAACTGCAAGTAGATATTTGGACCTCTCTGAGGATTTCGTTGGAAACGGGATAACCCGCACAGAACTAAAACAGAAGCATTCACAGAAAACTATTGGTGACGACTGAGTTTAACTCACAGAGCTGAACATTCCTTTGGATGGAGCAGTTTCGAAACACACTATTTGTAGAATGTGCAAGTGGATATTGGGGCCTCTCTGAGGATTTCGTTGGAAACGGGATAAACCGCACAGAACTAAACAGAAGCATTCTCAGAAACTACTTTGTGATGATTGCATTCAAGTCACAGAGTTGAACATTCCCTTTGACAGAGCAGTTTGGAAACTCTCTTTGTGTAGAATCTGCAAGTGGAGATATGGACCGCTTTGAGGCCTATGGTAGTAAAGGAAAGAGCTTCATATAAAAGCTAGACAGTAGCATTCTCAGAAACTTCTTTGTGATGCTTGCATTCAACTCACAGAGTTGAACTTTCCTTTCGAGAGAGAAGCTTTGAAACACTCTTTTTCCAGAATCTGCAAGTGGACATTTGGAGGGCTTTGAGGCCTGTGGTGGAAAAGGAATTAACTTCCCGTAAAAGCTAGATAGAAGCATAGTCAGAAGCTTCTTTGTGATGATTGCATTCAACTCACAGAGTTGAAGGTTCCTTTTCAAACAGCAGTTTCCAATCACTCTTTCTGTGGAATCTGCAAGTGTATATTTGGACCTATTTTGAAGATTTCGTTGGAAACGGGATAATCTTCACAGAAAAGCTAAACAGAAGCATTCTCAGAAACTTCTCTGTGATGTTTGTGTTCAACTCCCAGAGTTTCACATTGCTTTTCATAGAGTAGTTCTGAAACATGCTTTTCGTAGTGTCTACAAGTGGACATTTGGAGCGCTTTCAGGCCTGTGGTGGAAAACGAATTATGGTCACATAAAAACTGGAGAGAAGCCTTCTCAGAAACTTCTCTGTGATGATTGCATTCAACTCACAGAGTTGAACCCTCCTATGGATAGAGCAGTGTTGAAACTCTCTTTTTGTGGAATCTGCAAGTGGATATGTGGACCTCTCCGAAGATGTCTTTGGAAACGGGAATATCTTCACATAAAAACTAAACAGAAGCATTCTCAGAAACTTCTTGGTGATGTTTGCATTCAAATCCCAGAGTTGAACCTTCCTTTGATAGTTCAGGTTTGAAACACTCTTTTTGTAGGATCTGGAAGTGGCTATTTGGACCACTCTGTGGCCTTCGTTCGAAACGGGTATATCTTCGCATAAAATCTAGACAGAAGCATTCTCAGAAAATACTTTGTGATGATTGAGTTTAAATCACAGAGCTGACCATTCCTTTGGATGGAGCAGGTTTGAGACACACTTTTTGTAGAATCTACAAGTGGATATTTGGACCTCTCTGAGGATTTCGTTGGAAACGGGATAACTGCACCTAACTAAACGGAAGCATTCTCAGAAACTGCTTTGTGATGATTGCATTCACCTCACAGAGTTGAACATTCCTATTGATAGAGCAGTTTGGAAACACTCTTGTTGTGGAATGTGCAAGTGGAGATTTGGAGCGCTTTGAGGCCTGTGGTAGTAAAGGGAATAGCTTCATAGAAAAACTAGACAGATGCATTCTCAGGAACTTTTTGGTGATGTTTGTATTCAACTCCCAGAGTTGAACTTTCCTTTGGAAAGAGCAGCTATGAAACACTCTTTTTCTAGAATCTGCAAGTGGACGTTTGGAGGGCTTTGTGGTTTGTGGTGGAAAAGGAAATATCTTCACCTAAATACTGGATAGAAGCATTCTCAGAAGCTTCTCTGTGATGACTGCATTCAACTCACAGAGTTGAACACTCCTTTTGAGAGCGCAGTTTTGAAACTCTCTTTCTGTGGCATCTGCAAGGGGACATGTAGACCTCTTTGAGGATTTCGTTGGAAACGGAATCATCTTCACATAAAAACTATACAGAAGCAGTCTCAGAATCTTCTTTGTGATGTTTGCATTCAAATCCCAGAGTTGAACTTTCCTTTCAAAGTTCACGTTTGAAACACTCTTTTTGCAGGATCTACAAGTGGATATTTGGACCACTCTGTGTCCTTCGTTCGAAACGGGTATATCTTCACATGACATCTAGACAGAAGCTTTCTCAGAAAATTCTTTGGGATGATTGAGTGGAACTCACAGAGCTGAACATTCCTTGCGATGTAGCAGTTTAGAAACACACTTTCTGCAGAATCTGCAAGTGCATATTTGGACCTCTCTGAGGAATTCGTTGGAAACGGGATAATTTCAGCTGACTAAACAGAAGCATTCTCAGAACCTTCTTCGTGATGTCTGCATTCAACTCACAGTGTGGAACCTTTCTTTGATAGTTCAGGTTTGAAACACTCTTTTTGTAGAAACTGCAAGGGGATAACTGCACTTGTTTGAGGCCTATCGTAGTAAAGGAAATAACTTCCTATAAAAAGAAGACAGAAGCATTCTCAGAACCCTCTTCGTGATGTTTGCATTCAACTCACAGTGCTGAACCTTTCTTTGATAGTTCAGCTTTGAAACACTCTTCTTGTAGAAACTGCAAGTGGATATTTGGTCCTCTCTGAGGATTTCGTTGGAAACGGGATAAACCGCACAGAACTAAACAGAAGCATTCTCAGAACCTTCTTCGTGATGTTTGCATTCAACTCACAGTGTTGAACCTTCCTTTGATAGTTCAGGTTTGAAACGATCTTTCTGTAGAAACTGCAAGTAGATATTTGGACCTCTCTGAGGATTTCGTTGGAAACGGGATAAACCGCACAGAACTAAAACAGAAGCATTCACAGAAAACTCTTGGTGACGACTGAGTTTAACTCACAGAGCTGAACATTCCTTTGGATGGAGCAGTTTCGAAACACACTATTTGTAGAATGTGCAAGTGGATATTTGGGCCTCTCTGAGGATTTCGTTGGAAATGGGATAAACCGCACAAAACTAAACAGAAGCATTCTCAGAAACTACTTTGTGATGATTGCATTCAAGTCACAGAGTTGAACATTCCCTTTGACAGAGCAGTTTGGAAACTCTCTTTGTGTAGAATCTGCAAGTGGAGATATGGACCGCGTTGAGGCCTATGGTAGTAAAGGAAATAGCTACATATAAAAGCTAGACAGTAGCATTCTCAGAAACTTCTTTGTGATGCTTGCATTCAACTCACAGAGTTGAACTTTCCTTTCGAGAGAGAAGCTTTGAAACACTCTTTTTCCAGAATCTGCAAGTGGACATTTGGAGGGCTTTGAGGCCTGTGGTGGAAAAGGAATTATCTTCCCGTAAAAGCTAGATAGAAGCATTGTCAGAAACTTCTTTGTGATGATTGCATTCAACTCACAGAGTTGAAGGTTCCTTTTCAAACAGCAGTTTCCAATCACTCTTTCTGTGGAATCTGCAAGTGGATATTTGGGCCTCTCTGAGGATTTCGTTGGAAACGGGATAAAACGCACAGAACTAAAACAGAAGCATTCTCAGAAACTTCTCTGTGATGTTTGTGTTCAACTCCCAGAGTTTCACGTTGCTTTTCATAGAGTGGTTCTGAAACATGCTTTTCGTAGTGTCTGCAAGTGGACATTTGGAGCGCTTTCAGGCCTGTGGTGGAAAACGAATTATGGTCACATAAAAACTGGAGAGAAGCCTTCTCAGAAACTTCTCTGTGATGATTGCATTCAACTCACAGAGTTGAACCCTCCTATGGATAGAGCAGTGTTGAAACTCTCTTTTTGTGGAATCTGCAAGTGGATATGTGGACCTCTCCGAAGATGTCTTTGGAAACGGGAATATCTTCACATAAAAACTAAACAGAAGCATTCTCAGAAACTTCTTGGTGATGTTTGCATTCAAATCCCAGAGTTGAACCTTCCTTTGATAGTTCAGGTTTGAAACACTCTTTCTGTAGGATCTGCAAGTGGCTATTTGGACCACTCTGTGGCCTTCGTTCGAAACGGGTATATCTTCGCATAAAATCTAGACAGAAGCATTCTCAGAAAATACTTTGTGATGATTGAGTTTAAATCACAGAGCTGACCATTCCTTTGGATGGAGCAGGTTTGAGACACACTTTTTGTAGAATCTACAAGTGGATATTTGGACCTCTCTGAGGATTTCGTTGGAAACGGGATAACTGCACCTAACTAAACGGAAGCATTCTCAGAAACTGCTTTGTGATGATTGCATTCACCTCACAGAGTTGAACATTCCTATTGATAGAGCAGTTTGGAAACACTCTTGTTGTGGAATGTGCAAGTGGAGATTTGGAGCGCTTTGAGGCCTATGGTAGTAAAGGGAATAGCTTCATAGAAAAACTAGACAGATGCATTCTCAGGAACTTTTTGGTGATGTTTGTATTCAACTCCCAGAGTTGAACTTTCCTTTGGAAAGAGCAGCTATGAAACACTCTTTTTCTAGAATCTGCAAGTGGACGTTTGGAGGGCTTTGTGGTTTGTGGTGGAAAAGGAAATATCTTCACCTAAATACTAGATAGAAGCATTCTCAGAAGCTTCTCTGTGATGACTGCATTCAACTCACGGAGTTGAACACTCCTTTTGAGAGCGCAGTTTTGAAACTCTCTTTCTGTGGCATCTGCAAGGGGACATGTAGACCTCTTTGAAGATTTCGTTGGAAACGGAATCATCTTCACATAAAAACTATACAGAAGCAGTCTCAGAATCTTCTTTGTGATGTTTGCATTCAAATCCCAGAGTTGAACTTTCCTTTCAAAGTTCACGTTTGAAACACTCTTTTTGCAGGATCTACAAGTGGATATTTGGACCACTCTGTGTCCTTCGTTCGAAACGGGTATATCTTCACACGACATCTAGACAGAAGCTTTCTCAGAAAATTCTTTGGGATGATTGAGTTGAACTCACAGAGCTGAACATTCCTTGCGATGTAGCAGTTTAGAAACACATTTTCTGCAGAATCTGCAAGTGCATATTTGGACCTCTCTGAGGAATTCGTTGGAAACGGGATAATTTCAGCTGACTAAACAGAAGCATTCTCAGAACCTTCTTCGTGATGTCTGCATTCAACTCACAGTGTGGAACCTTTCTTTGATAGTTCAGGTTTGAAACACTCTTTTTGTAGAAACTGCAAGGGGATAATTGCACTTCTTTGAGGCCTACCGTAGTAAAGGAAATAACTTCCTATAGAAAGAAGACAGAAGCATTCTCAGAACCCTCTTCGTGATGTTTGCATTCAACTCACAGTGCTGAACCTTTCTTTGATAGTTCAGCTTTGAAACACTCTTCTTGTAGAAACTGCAAGTGGATATTTGGTCCTCTCTGAGGATTTCGTTGGAAACGGGATAAACCGCACAGAACTAAACAGAAGCATTCTCAGAACCTTCTTCGTGATGTTTGCATTCAACTCACAGTGTTGAACCTTTCTTTGATAGTTCAGGTTTGAAACGGTCTTTCTGTAGAAACTGCAAGTAGATATTTGGACCTCTCTGAGGATTTCGTTGGAAACGGGATAACCCGCACAGAACTAAAACAGAAGCATTCACAGAAAACTCTTGGTGACGACTGAGTTTAACTCACAGAGCTGAACATTCCTTTGGATGGAGCAGTTTCGAAACACACTCTTTGTAGAATGTGCAAGTGGATATTTGGGCCTCTCTGAGGATTTCGTTGGAAACGGGATAAACCGCACAGAACTAAAACAGAAGCATTCTCAGAAACTACTTTGTGATGATTGCATTCAAGTCACAGAGTTGAACATTCCCTTTGACAGAGCAGTTTGGAAACTCTCTTTGTGTAGAATCTGCAAGTGGAGCTATGGACCGCTTTGAGGCCTATGGTAGTAAAGGAAATAGTTTCATATAAAAGCTAGACAGCAGCATTCTCAGAAACTTCTTTGTGATGCTTGCATTCAACTCACAGAGTTGAACTTTCCTTTCGAGAGAGAAGCTTTGAAACACTCTTTTTCCAGAATGTGCATGTGGACATTTGGGGAGCTTTGAGGCCTGGGGTGGAAAAGGAATTATCTTCCCGTAAAAGCTAGATAGAAGCATTGTCAGAAACTTCTTTGTGATGATTGCATTCAACTCACAGAGTTGAAGGTTCCTTTTCAAACAGCAGTTTCCAATCACTCTTTCTGTGGAATCTGCAAGTGGATATTTGGGCCTCTCTGAGGATTTCGTTGGAAACGGGATAAAACGCACAGAACTAAAACAGAAGCATTCTCAGAAACTTCTCTGTGATGTTTGTGTTCAACTCCCAGAGTTTCACGTTGCTTTTCATAGAGTAGTTCTGAAACATGCTTTTCGTAGTGTCTGCAAGTGGACATTTGGAGCGCTTTCAGGCCTGTGGTGGAAAACGAATTATGGTCACATAAAAACTGGAGAGAAGCCTTCTCAGAAACTTCTCTGTGATGATTGCATTCAACTCACAGAGTTGAACCCTCCTATGGATAGAGCAGTGTTGAAACTCTCTTTTTGTGGAATCTGCAAGTGGATATGTGGACCTCTCCGAAGATGTCTTTGGAAACGGGAATATCTTCACATAAAAACTAAACAGAAGCATTCTCAGAAACTTCTTGGTGATGTTTGCATTCAAATCCCAGAGTTGAACCTTCCTTTGATAGTTCAGGTTTGAAACACTCTTTCTGTAGGATCTGCAAGTGGCTATTTGGACCACTCTGTGGCCTTCGTTCGAAACGGGTATATCTTCGCATAAAATCTAGACAGAAGCATTCTCAGAAAATACTTTGTGATGATTGAGTTTAAATCACAGAGCTGACCATTCCTTTGGATGGAGCAGGTTTGAGACACACTTTTTGTAGAATCTACAAGTGGATATTTGGACCTCTCTGAGGATTTCGTTGGAAACGGGATAACTGCACCTAACTAAACGGAAGCATTCTCAGAAACTGCTTTGTGATGATTGCATTCACCTCACAGAGTTGAACATTCCTATTGATAGAGCAGTTTGGAAACACTCTTGTTGTGGAATGTGCAAGTGGAGATTTGGAGCGCTTTGAGGCCTATGGTAGTAAAGGGAATAGCTTCATAGAAAAACTAGACAGATGCATTCTCAGGAACTTTTTGGTGATGTTTGTATTCAACTCCCAGAGTTGAACTTTCCTTTGGAAAGAGCAGCTATGAAACACTCTTTTTCTAGAATCTGCAAGTGGACGTTTGGAGGGCTTTGTGGTTTGTGGTGGAAAAGGAAATATCTTCACCTAAATACTAGATAGAAGCATTCTCAGAAGCTTCTCTGTGATGACTGCATTCAACTCACGGAGTTGAACACTCCTTTTGAGAGCGCAGTTTTGAAACTCTCTTTCTGTGGCATCTGCAAGGGGACATGTAGACCTCTTTGAAGATTTCGTTGGAAACGGAATCATCTTCACATAAAAACTATACAGAAGCAGTCTCAGAATCTTCTTTGTGATGTTTGCATTCAAATCCCAGAGTTGAACTTTCCTTTCAAAGTTCACGTTTGAAACACTCTTTTTGCAGGATCTACAAGTGGATATTTGGACCACTCTGTGTCCTTCGTTCGAAACGGGTATATCTTCACACGACATCTAGACAGAAGCTTTCTCAGAAAATTGTTTGGGATGATTGATTTGAACTCACAGAGCTGAGCATTCCTTGCGATGTAGCAGTTTAGAAACACACTTTCTGCAGAATCTGCAAGTGCATATTTGGACCTCTCTGAGGAATTCGTTGGAAACGGGATAATTTCAGCTGACTAAACAGAAGCATTCTCAGAACCTTCTTCGTGATGTCTGCATTCAACTCACAGTGTGGAACCTTTCTTTGATAGTTCAGGTTTGAAACACTCTTTTTGTAGAAACTGCAAGGGGATAATTGCACTCTTTGAGGAGTACCGTAGTAAAGGAAATAACTTCCTATAAAAAGAAGACAGAAGCATTCTCAGAACCCTCTTCGTGATGTTTGCATTCAACTCACAGTGCTGAACCTTTCTTTGATAGTTCAGCTTTGAAACACTCTTTTTGTAGAAACTGCAAGTGGATATTTGGTCCTCTCTGAGGATTTCGTTGGAAACGGGATAAACTGCACAGAACTAAACAGAAGCATTCTCAGAACCTTCTTCGTGATGTTTGCATTCAACTCACAGTGTTGAACCTTTCTTTGATAGTTCAGGTTTGAAACGGTCTTTCTGTAGAAACTGCAAGTAGATATTTGGACCTCTCTGAGGATTTCGTTGGAAACGGGATAACCCGCACAGAACTAAAACAGAAGCATTCACAGAAAACTCTTGGTGACGACTGAGTTTAACTCACAGAGCTGAACATTCCTTTGGATGGAGCAGTTTCGAAACACACTATTTGTAGAATGTGCAAGTGGATATTTGGGCCTCTCTGAGGATTTCGTTGGAAACGGGATAAACCGCACAGAACTAAACAGAAGCATTCTCCGAAACTACTTTGTGATGATTGCATTCAAGTCACAGAGTTGAACATTCCCTTTGACAGAGCAGTTTGGAAACTCTCTTTGTGTAGAATCTGCAAGTGGAGATATGGACCACATTGAGGCCTATGGTAGTAAAGGAAATAGCTTCATATAAAAGCTAGACAGTAGCATTCTCAGAAACTTCTTTGTGATGCTTGCATTCAACTCACAGAGTTGAACTTTCCTTTCGAGAGAGAAGCTTTGAAACACTCTTTTTCCAGAATCTGCAAGTGGACATTTGGAGGGCTTTGAGGCCTGTGGTGGAAAAGGAATTAACATCCCGTAAAAGCTAGATAGAAGCACTGTCAGAAACTTCTTTGTGATGATTGCATTCAACTCACAGAGATGAAGGTTCCTTTACAAACAGCAGTTTCCAAACACTCTTTCTGTGGAATCTGCAAGTGGATATTTGGACCTCTTTGAAGATTTCGTTGGAAACGGAAGAATCTTCACAGAAAAGTTAAACAGAAGCATTCTCAGAAACTTCTCTGTGATGTTTGTGTTCAACTCCCAGAGTTTCACATTGCTTCTCATAGAGTACTTCTGAAACATGCTTTTCGTAGTGTCTGCAAGTGGACATTTGGAGCGCTTTCAGGCCTGTGGTATAAAACGAATTATGGTCCCATAAAAACTGGAGAGAAGCCTTCTCAGAAACTTCTCTGTGATGATTGCATTCAACTCACAGATTTGAACCCTCCTATGGATAGAGCATTGTTGAAACTCTCTTTTTGTGGAATCTGCAAGTGGATATGTGGACCTCTCCGAAGATGTCTTTGGAAACGGGAATATCTTCACATAAAAACTAAACAGAAGCATTCTCAGAAACTTCTTGGTGATGTTTGCATTCAAATCCCAGAGTTGAACCTTCCTTTGATAGTTCAGGTTTGAAACACTCTTTTTGTAGGATCTGCAAGTGGATATTTGGACCACTCTGTGGCCTTCGTTCGAAACGGGTATATCTTCGCATAAAATCTAGACAGAAGCATTCTCAGAAAATACTTTGTGATGATTGAGTTGAACTCACAGAGCTGAACATTCCTTTGGATGGAGCAGGTTTGAGACACACTTTTTGTAGAATCTACAAGTGGATATTTGGACCTCTCTGAGGATTTCGTTGGAAACGGGATAACTGCACCTAACTAAACGGAAGCATTCTCAGAAACTGCTTTGTGATGATTGCATTCACCTCACAGAGTTGAACATTCCTATTGATAGAGCAGTTTGGAAACACTCTTGTTGTGGAATGTGCAAGTGGAGATTTGGAGCGCTTTGAGGTCTATGGTAGTAAAGGGAATAGCTTCATAGAAAAACTAGACAGATGCATTCTCAGGAACTTTTTGGTGATGTTTGTATTCAACTCCCAGAGTTGAACTTTCCTTTGGAAAGAGCAGCTATGAAACACTCTTTTTCTAGAATCTGCAAGTGGACGTTTGGAGGGCTTTGTGGTTTGTGGTGGAAAAGGAAATATCTTCACCTAAATACTAGATAGAAGCATTCTCAGAAGCTTCTCTGTGATGACTGCATTCAACTCACGGAGTTGAACACTCCTTTTGAGAGCGCAGTTTTGAAACTCTCTTTCTGTGGCATCTGCAAGGGGACATGTAGACCTCTTTGAAGATTTCGTTGGAAACGGAATCATCTTCACATAAAAACTATACAGAAGCAGTCTCAGAATCTTCTTTGTGATGTTTGCATTCAAATCCCAGAGTTGAACTTTCCTTTCAAAGTTCACGTTTGAAACACTCTTTTTGCAGGATCTACAAGTGGATATTTGGACCACTCTGTGTCCTTCGTTCGAAACGGTTATATCTTCACATGACATCTAGACAGAAGCTTTCTCAGAAAATTCTTTGGGATGATTGAGTTGAACTCACAGAGCTGAGCATTCCTTGCGATGTAGCAGTTTAGAAACACACTTTCTGCAGAATCTGCAAGTGCATATTTGGACCTCTCTGAGGAATTCGTTGGAAACGGGATAATTTCAGCTGACTAAACAGAAGCATTCTCAGAACCTTCTTCGTGATGTCTGCATTCAACTCACAGTGTGGAACCTTTCTTTGATAGTTCAGGTTTGAAACACTCTTTTTGTAGAAACTGCAAGGGGATAATTGCACTTCTTTGAGGCCTACCGTAGTAAAGGAAATAACTTCCTATAGAAAGAAGACAGAAGAATTCTCAGAGCCCTCTTCGTGATGTTTGCATTCAACTCACAGTGCTGAACCTTTCTTTGATAGTGCAGCTTTGAAACACTCTTTTTGTAGAAACTGCAAGTGGATGTTTGGTCCTCTCTGAGGATTTCGTTGGAAACGGGATAAACCGCACAGAACTAAAACAGAAGCATTCTCAGAACCTTCTTCGTGATGTTTGCATTCAACTCACAGTGTTGAACCTTTCTTTGATAGTTCAGGTTTGAAACGGTCTTTCTGTAGAAACTGCAAGTAGATATTTGGACCTCTCTGAGGATTTCGTTGGAAACGGGATAACCCGCACAGAACTAAAACAGAAGCATTCACAGAAAACTCTTGGTGACGACTGAGTTTAACTCACAGAGCTGAACATTCCTTTGGATGGAGCAGTTTCGAAACACACTATTTGTAGAATCTGCAAGTGGATATGTGGGCCTCTCTGAGGATTTCGTTGGAAACGGGATAAACCGCACAGAACTAAAACAGAAGCATTCTCAGAAACTACTTTGTGATGATTGCATTCAAGTCACAGAGTTGAACATTCCCTTTGACAGAGCAGTTTGGAAACTCTCTTTGTGTAGAATCTGCAAGTGGAGATATGGACCGCTTTGAGGCCTATGGTAGTAAAGGAAATAGCTTCATATAAAAGCTAGACAGTAGCATTCTCAGAAACTTCTTTGTGATGCTTGCATTCAACTCACAGAGTTGAACTTTCCTTTCGAGAGAGAAGCTTTGAAACACTCTTTTTCCAGAATCTGCAAGTGGACATTTGGAGGGCTTTGAGGCCTGTGGTGGAAAAGGAATTATCTTCCCGTAAAAGCTAGATAGAAGCATTGTCAGAAACTTCTTTGTGATGATTGCATTCAACTCACAGAGTTGAAGGTTCCTTTTCAAAGAGCAGTTTCCAATCACTCTTTGTGTGGAATCTGCAAGTGGATATTTGGACCTATTTTGAAGATTTCGTTGGAAACGGGAGAATCTTCACAGGAAAGCTAAACAGAAGCATTCTCAGAAACTTCTCTGTGATGTTTGTGTTCAACTCCCAGAGTTTCACATTGCTTTTCATAGAGTAGTTCTGAAACATGCTTTTCGTAGTGTCTACAAGTGGACATTTGGAGCGCTTTCAGGCCTGTGGTGGAAAACGAATTATGGTCACATAAAAACTGGAGAGAAGCCTTCTAAGAAACTTCTCTGTGATGATTGCATTCAACTCACAGAGTTGAACCCTCCTATGGATAGAGCAGTGTTGAAACTCTCTTTTTGTGGAATCTGCAAGCGGATATGTGGACCTCTCCGAAGATGTCTTTGGAAACGGGAATATCTTCACATAAAAACTAAACAGAAGCATTCTCAGAAACTTCTTGGTGATGTTTGCATTCAAATCCCAGAGTTGAACCTTCCTTTGATAGTTCAGGTTTGAAACACTCTTTCTGTAGGATCTGCAAGTGGCTATTTGGACCACTCTGTGGCCTTCGTTCGAAACGGGTATATCTTCGCATAAAATCTAGACAGAAGCATTCTCAGAAAATACTTTGTGATGATTGAGTTTAAATCACAGAGCTGACCATTCCTTTGGATGGAGCAGGTTTGAGACACACTTTTTGTAGAATCTACAAGTGGATATTTGGACCTCTCTGAGGATTTCGTTGGAAACGGGATAACTGCACCTAACTAAACGGAAGCATTCTCAGAAACTGCTTTGTGATGATTGCATTCACCTCACAGAGTTGAACATTCCTATTGATAGAGCAGTTTGGAAACACTCTTGTTGTGGAATGTGCAAGTGGAGATTTGGAGCGCTTTGAGGTCTATGGTAGTAAAGGGAATAGCTTCATAGAAAAACTAGACAGATGCATTCTCAGGAACTTTTTGGTGATGTTTGTATTCAACTCCCAGAGTTGAACTTTCCTTTGGAAAGAGCAGCTATGAAACACTCTTTTTCTAGAATCTGCAAGTGGACGTTTGGAGGGCTTTGTGGTTTGTGGTGGAAAAGGAAATATCTTCACCTAAATACTAGATAGAAGCATCCTCAGAAGCTTCTCTGTGATGACTGCATTCAACTCACGGAGTTGAACACTCCTTTTGAGAGCGCAGTTTTGAAACTCTCTTTCTGTGGCATCTGCAAGGGGACATGTAGACCTCTTTGAAGATTTCGTTGGAAACGGAATCATCTTCACATAAAAACTATACAGAAGCAGTCTCAGAATCTTCTTTGTGATGTTTGCATTCAAATCCAAGAGTTGAACTTCCCTTTCAAAGTTCACGTTTGAAACACTCTTTTTGCAGGATCTACAAGTGGATATTTGGACCACTCTGTGTCCTTCGTTCGAAACGGGTATATCTTCACATGACATCTAGACAGAAGCTTTCTCAGAAAATCCTTTGGGATGATTGAGTGGAACTCACAGAGCTGAACATTCCTTGCGATGTAGTAGTTTAGAAACACACTTTCTGCAGAATCTGCAAGTGCATATTTGGACCTCTCTGAGGAATTCGTTGGAAACGGGATAATTTCAGCTGACTAAACAGAAGCATTCTCAGAACCTTCTTCGTGATGTCTGCATTCAACTCACAGTGTGGAACCTTTCTTTGATAGTTCAGGTTTGAAACTCTCTTTTTGTAGAAACTGCAAGGGGATAATTGCACTTCTTTGAGGCCTACCGTAGTAAAGGAAATAACTTCCTATAGAAAGAAGACAGAAGCATTCTCAGAACCTTCTTCGTGATGTTTGCATTCAACTCACAGTGCTGAACCTTTCTTTGATAGTTCAGCTTTGAAACACTCTTTTTGTAGAAACTGCAAGTGGATATTTGGACCTCTCTGAGGATTTCGTTGGAAACGGGATAAACCGCACAGAACTAAAACAGAAGCATTCTCAGAACCTTCTTCGTGATGTTTGCATTCAACTCACAGTGTTGAACCTTTCTTTGATAGTTCAGGTTTGAAACGGTCTTTCTGTAGAAACTGCAAGTAGATATTTGGACCTCTCTGAGGATTTCGTTGGAAACGGGATAAACCGCACAGAACTAAAACAGAAGCATTCACAGAAAACTCTTGGTGACGACTGAGTTTAACTCACAGAGCTGAACATTCCTTTGGATGGAGCAGTTTCGAAACACACTATTTGTAGAATGTGCAAGTGGATATTTGGGCCTCTCTGAGGATTTCTTTGGAAACGGGATAAACCGCACAGAACTAAAACAGAAGCATTCTCAGAAACTACTTTGTGATGATTGCATTCAAGTCACAGAGTTGAACATTCCCTTTGACAGAGCAGTTTGGAAACTCTCTTTGTGTAGAATCTGCAAGTGGAGATATGGACCGCTTTGAGGCCTATGGTAGTAAAGGAAATAGCTTCATATAAAAGCTAGACAGTAGCATTCTCAGAAACTTCTTTGTGATGCTTGCATTCAACTCACAGAGTTGAACTTTCCTTTCGAGAGAGAAGCTTTGAAACACTCTTTTTCCAGAATGTGCAAGTGGACATTTGGGGAGCTTTGAGGCCTGGGGTGGAAAAGGAATTATCTTCCCGTAAAAGCTAGATAGAAGCATTGTCAGAAACTTCTTTGTGATGATTGCATTCAACTCACAGAGTTGAAGGTTCCTTTTCAAACAGCAGTTTCCAATCACTCTTTCTGTGGAATCTGCAAGTGGATATTTGGGCCTCTCTGAGGATTTCGTTGGAAACGGGATAAAACGCACAGAACTAAAACAGAAGCATTCTCAGAAACTTCTCTGTGATGTTTGTGTTCAACTCCCAGAGTTTCACGTTGCTTTTCATAGAGTAGTTCTGAAACATGCTTTTCGTAGTGTCTGCAAGTGGACATTTGGAGCGCTTTCAGGCCTGTGGTGGAAAACGAATTATGGTCACATAAAAACTGGAGAGAAGCCTTCTCAGAAACTTCTCTGTGATGATTGCATTCAACTCACAGAGTTGAACCCTCCTATGGATAGAGCAGTGTTGAAACTCTCTTTTTGTGGAATCTGCAAGTGGATATGTGGACCTCTCCGAAGATGTCTTTGGAAACGGGAATATCTTCACATAAAAACTAAACAGAAGCATTCTCAGAAACTTCTTGGTGATGTTTGCATTCAAATCCCAGAGTTGAACCTTCCTTTGATAGTTCAGGTTTGAAACACTCTTTTTGTAGGATCTGCAAGTGGATATTTGGACCACTCTGTGGCCTTCGTTCGAAACGGGTACATCTTCGCATAAAATCTAGACAGAAGCATTCTCAGAAAATACTTTGTGATGATTGAGTTTAACTCACAGATCTGAACATTCCTTTGGATGGAGCAGGTTTGAGACACACTTTTTGTAGAATCTACAAGTGGATATTTGGACCTCTCTGAGGATTTCGTTGGAAACCTGATAACTGCACCTAACTAAACGGAAGCATTCTCAGAAACTGCTTTGTGATGATTGCATTCACCTCACAGAGTTGACCATTCCTATTGATAGAGCAGTTTGGAAACACTCTTCTTGTGGAATGTGCAAGTGGAGATTTGGAGCGCTTTGAGGCCTATGGTAGTAAAGGGAATAGCTTCATAGAAAAACTAGACAGATGCATTCTCAGGAACTTTTTGGTGATGTTTGTATTCAACTCCCAGAGTTGAACTTTCCTTTGGAAAGAGCAGCTATGAAACACTCTTTTTCTAGAATCTGCAAGTGGACGTTTGGAGGGCTTTGTGGTTTGTGGTGGAAAAGGAAATATCTTCACCTAAATACTAGATAGAAGCATTCTCAGAAGCTTCTCTGTGATGACTGCATTCAACTCACGGAGTTGAACACTCCTTTTGAGAGCGCAGTTTTGAAACTCTCTTTCTGTGGCATCTGCAAGAGGACATGTAGACCTCTTTGAAGATTTCGTTGGAAACGGAATCATCTTCACATAAAAACTATACAGAAGCAGTCTCAGAATCTTCTTTGTGATGTTTGCATTCAAATCCCAGAGTTGAACTTTCCTTTCAAAGTTCACGTTTGAAACACTCTTTTTGCAGGATCTACAAGTGGATATTTGGACCACTCTGTGTCCTTCGTTCGAAACGGGTATATCTTCACACGACATCTAGACAGAAGCTTTCTCAGAAAATTCTTTGGGATGATTGAGTGGAACTCACAGAGCTGAACATTCCCTTGCGATGTAGCAGTTTAGAAACACACTTTCTGCAGAATCTGCAAGTGCATATTTGGACCTCTCTGAGGAATTCGTTGGAAACGGGATAATTTCAGCTGACTAAACAGAAGCATTCTCAGAACCTTCTTCGTGGTGTCTGCATTCAACTCACAGTGTGGAACCTTTCTTTGATAGTTCAGGTTTGAAACACTCTTTTTGTAGAAACTGCAAGGGGATAATTGCACTTCTTTGAGGCCTACCGTAGTAAAGGAAATAACTTCCTATAGAAAGAAGACAGAAGCATTCTCAGAACCCTCTTCGTGATGTTTGCATTCAACTCACAGTGCTGAACCTTTCTTTGATAGTTCAGCTTTGAAACACTCTTCTTGTAGAAACTGCAAGTGGATATTTGGTCCTCTCTGAGGATTTCGTTGGAAACGGGATAAACCGCACAGAACTAAACAGAAGCATTCTCAGAACCTTCTTCGTGATGTTTGCATTCAACTCACAGTGTTGAACCTTTCTTTGATAGTTCAGGTTTGAAACGGTCTTTCTGTAGAAACTGCAAGTAGATATTTGGACCTCTCTGAGGATTTCGTTGGAAACGGGATAACCCGCACAGAACTAAAACAGAAGCATTCACAGAAAACTCTTGGTGACGACTGAGTTTAACTCACAGAGCTGAACATTCCTTTGGATGGAGCAGTTTCGAAACACACTATTTGTAGAATGTGCAAGTGGATATTTGGGCCTCTCTGAGGATTTCGTTGGAAACGGGATAAACCGCACAGAACTAAACAGAAGCATTCTCAGAAACTACTTTGTGATGATTGCATTCAAGTCACAGAGTTGAACATTCCCTTTGACAGAGCAGTTTGGAAACTCTCATTGTGTAGAATCTGCAAGTGGAGATATGGACCGCTTTGAGGCCTATGGTAGTAAAGGAAATAGCTTCATATAAAAGCTAGACAGTGGCATTCTCAGAAACTTCTTTGTGATGCTTGCATTCAACTCACAGAGTTGAACTTTCCTTTCGAGAGAGAAGCTTTGAAACACTCTTTTTCCAGAATGTGCAAGTGGAGATTTGGAGGGCTTTGAGGCCTGTGGTGGAAAAGGAATTATCTTCCCGTAAAAGCTAGATGGAAGCATTGTCAGAAACTTCTTTGTGATGATTGCATTCAACTCACAGAGTTGAAGGTTCCTTTTCAAAGAGCAGTTTCCAATCACTCTTTCTGTGGAATCTGCAAGTGGATATTTGGACCTCTTTGAAGATTTCGTTGGAAACGGGAGAATCTTCACAGAAAAGCTAAACAGAAGCATTCTCAGAAACTTCTCTGTGATGTTTGTGTTCAACTCCCAGAGTTTCACGTTGCTTTTCATAGAGTAGTTCTGAAACATGCTTTTCGTAGTGTCTGCAAGTGGACATTTGGAGCGCTTTCAGGCCTGTGGTGGAAAACGAATTATGGTCACATAAAAACTGGAGAGAAGCCTTCTCAGAAACTTCTCTGTGATGATTGCATTCAACTCACAGAGTTGAACCCTCCTATGGATAGAGCAGTGTTGAAACTCTCTTTTTGTGGAATCTGCAAGTGGATATGTGGACCTCTCCGAAGATGTCTTTGGAAACGGGAATATCTTCACATAAAAACTAAACAGAAGCATTCTCAGAAACTTCTTGGTGATGTTTGCATTCAAATCCCAGAGTTGAACCTTCCTTTGATAGTTCAGGTTTGAAACACTCTTTTTGTAGGATCTGCAAGTGGATATTTGGACCACTCTGTGGCCTTCGTTCGAAACGGGTACATCTTCGCATAAAATCTAGACAGAAGCATTCTCAGAAAATACTTTGTGATGATTGAGTTTAACTCACAGAGCTGAACATTCCTTTGGATGGAGCAGGCTTGAGACACACTTTTTGTAGAATCCACAAGTGGATATTTGGACCTCTCTGAGGATTTCGTTGGAAACGGGATAACTGCACCGAACTAAACGGAAGCATTCTCAGAAACTGCTTTGTGATGATTGCATTCACCTCACAGAGTTGAACATTCCTATTGATAGAGCAGTTTGGAAACACTCTTGTTGTGGAATGTGCAAGTGGAGATTTGGAGCGCTTTGAGGCCTGTGGTAGTAAAGGGAATAGCTTCATAGAAAAACTAGACAGATGCATTCTCAGGAACTTTTTGGTGATGTTTGTATTCAACTCCCAGAGTTGAACTTTCCTTTGGAAAGAGCAGCTATGAAACACTCTTTTTCTAGAATCTGCAAGTGGACGTTTGGAGGGCTTTGTGGTTTGTGGTGGAAAAGGAAATATCTTCACCTAAATACTAGATAGAAGCATTCTCAGAAGCTTCTCTGTGATGACTGCATTCAACTCACGGAGTTGAACACTCCTTTTGAGAGCGCAGTTTTGAAACTCTCTTTCTGTGGCATCTGCAAGGGGACATGTAGACCTCTTTGAAGATTTCGTTGGTAACGGAATCATCTTCACATCAAAACTATACAGAAGCAGTCTCAGAATCTTCTTTGTGATGTTTGCATTCAAATCCCAGAGTTGAACTTTCCTTTCAAAGTTCACGTTTGAAACACTCTTTTTGCAGGATCTACAAGTGGATATTTGGACCACTCTGTGTCCTTCGTTCGAAACGGGTATATCTTCACATGACATCTAGACAGAAGCTTTCTCAGAAAATTGTTTGGGATGATTGATTTGAACTCACAGAGCTGAGCATTCCTTGCGATGTAGCAGTTTAGAAACACACTTTCTGCAGAATCTGCAAGTGCATATTTGGACCTCTCTGAGGAATTCGTTGGAAACGGGATAATTTCAGCTGACTAAACAGAAGCATTCTCAGAACCTTCTTCGTGATGTCTGCATTCAACTCACAGTGTGGAACCTTTCTTTGATAGTTCAGGTTTGAAACACTCTTTTTGTAGAAACTGCAAGGGGATAATTGCACTCTTTGAGGAGTACCGTAGTAAAGGAAATAACTTCCTATAAAAAGAAGACAGAAGCATTCTCAGAACCCTCTTCGTGATGTTTGCATTCAACTCACAGTGCTGAACCTTTCTTTGATAGTTCAGCTTTGAAACACTCTTCTTGTAGAAACTGCAAGTGGATATTTGGTCCTCTCTGAGGATTTCGTTGGAAACGGGATAAACCGCACAGAACTAAACAGAAGCATTCTCAGAACCTTCTTCGTGATGTTTGCATTCAACTCACAGTGTTGAACCTTTCTTTGATAGTTCAGGTTTGAAACGGTCTTTCTGTAGAAACTGCAAGTAGATATTTGGACCTCTCTGAGGATTTCGTTGGAAACGGGATAACCCGCACAGAACTAAAACAGAAGCATTCACAGAAAACTCTTGGTGATGACTGAGTTTAACTCACAGAGCTGAACATTCCTTTGGATGGAGCAGTTTCGAAACACACTATTTGTAGAATGTGCAAGTGGATATTTGGGCCTCTCTGAGGATTTCGTTGGAAACGGGATAAACCGCACAGAACTAAACAGAAGCATTCTCAGAAACTACTTTGTGATGATTGCATTCAAGTCACAGAGCTGAACATTCCCTTTGACAGAGCAGTTTGGAAACTCTCTTTGTGTAGAATCTGCAAGTGGAGATATGGAATGCTTTGAGGACTATGGTAGTAAAGGAAATAGCTTCATATAAAAGCTAGACAGTAGCATTCTCAGAAACTTCTTTGTGATGCTTGCATTCAACTCACAGAGTTGAACTTTCCTTTCGAGAGAGAAGCTTTGAAACACTCTTTTTCCAGAATCTGCAAGTGGACATTTGGAAGGCTTTGAGGCCTGTGGTGGAAAAGGAATTATCTTCCCGTAAAAGCTAGATAGAAGCATTGTCAGAAACTTCTTTGTGATGATTGCATTCAACTCACAGAGTTGAAGGTTCCTTTTCAAACAGCAGTTTCCAATCACTCTTTCTGTGGAATCTGCAAGTGGATATTTGGGCCTCTCTGAGGATTTCGTTGGAAACGGGATAAAACGCACAGAACTAAAACAGAAGCATTCTCAGAAACTTCTCTGTGATGTTTGTGTTCAACTCCCAGAGTTTCACGTTGCTTTTCATAGAGTAGTTCTGAAACATGCTTTTCGTAGTGTCTGCAAGTGGACATTTGGAGCGCTTTCAGGCCTGTGGTGGAAAACGAATTATGGTCACATAAAAACTGGAGAGAAGCCTTCTCAGAAACTTCTCTGTGATGATTGCATTCAACTCACAGAGTTGAACCCTCCTATGGATAGAGCAGTGTTGAAACTCTCTTTTTGTGGAATCTGCAAGTGGATATGTGGACCTCTCCGAAGATGTCTTTGGAAACGGGAATATCTTCACATAAAAACTAAACAGAAGCATTCTCAGAAACTTCTTGGTGATGTTTGCATTCAAATCCCAGAGTTGAACCTTCCTTTGATAGTTCAGGTTTGAAACACTCTTTTTGTAGGATCTGCAAGTGGATATTTGGACCACTCTGTGGCCTTCGTTCGAAACGGGTATATCTTCGCATAAAATCTAGACAGAAGCATTCTCAGAAAATACTTTGTGATGATTGAGTTTAAATCACAGAGCTGACCATTCCTTTGGATGGAGCAGGTTTGAGACACACTTTTTGTAGAATCTACAAGTGGATATTTGGACCTCTCTGAGGATTTCGTTGGAAACGGGATAACTGCACCTAACTAAACGGAAGCATTCTCAGAAACTGCTTTGTGATGATTGCATTCACCTCACAGAGTTGAACATTCCTATTGATAGAGCAGTTTGGAAACACTCTTGTTGTGGAATGTGCAAGTGGAGATTTGGAGCGCTTTGAGGCCTATGGTAGTAAAGGGAATAGCTTCATAGAAAAACTAGACAGATGCATTCTCAGGAACTTTTTGGTGATGTTTGTATTCAACTCCCAGAGTTGAACTTTCCTTTGGAAAGAGCAGCTATGAAACACTCTTTTTCTAGAATCTGCAAGTGGACGTTTGGAGGGCTTTGTGGTTTGTGGTGGAAAAGGAAATATCTTCACCTAAATACTAGAGAGAAGCATTCTCAGAAGCTTCTCTGTGATGACTGCATTCAACTCACGGAGTTGAACACTCCTTTTGAGAGCGCAGTTTTGAAACTCTCTTTCTGTGGCATCCGCAAGGGGACATGTAGACCTCTTTGAAGATTTCGTTGGAAACGGAATCATCTTCACATAAAAACTATACAGAAGCAGTCTCAGAATCTTCTTTGTGATGTTTGCATTCAAATCCCAGAGTTGAACTTTCCTTTCAAAGTTCACGTTTGAAACACTCTTTTTGCAGGATCTACAAGTGGATATTTGGACCACTCTGTGTCCTTCGTTCGAAACGGGTATATCTTCACATGACATCTAGACAGAAGCTTTCTCAGAAAATTCTTTGGGATGATTGAGTGGAACTCACAGAGCTGAACATTCCTTGCGATGTACCAGTTTAGAAACACAGTTTCTGCAGAATCTGCAAGTGCATATTTGGACCTCTCTGAGGAATTCGTTGGAAACGGGATAATTTCAGCTGACTAAACAGAAGCATTCTCAGAACCTTCTTCGTGATGTCTGCATTCAACTCACAGTGTGGAACCTTTCTTTGATAGTTCAGGTTTGAAACACTCTTTTTGTAGAAACTGCAAGGGGATAATTGCACTTCTTTGAGGCCTACCGTAGTAAAGGAAATAACTTCCTATAGAAAGAAGACAGAAGCATTCTCAGAACCCTCTTCGTGATGTTTGCATTCAACTCACAGTGCTGAACCTTTCTTTGATAGTTCAGCTTTGAAACACTCCTTTTGTAGAAACTGCAAATGGATATTTGGTCCTCTCTGAGGATTTCGTTGGAAAAGGGATAAAACGCACAGAACTAAACAGAAGCATTCACAGAAAACTCTTGGTGACGACTGAGTTTAACTCACAGAGCTGAACATTCCTTTGGATGGAGCAGTTTCAAAACACACTATTTGTAGAATCTGCAAGTGGATATGTGGGCCTCTCTGAGGATTTCGTTGGAAACGGGATAAACCGCACAGAACTAAAACAGAAGCATTCTCAGAAACTACTTTGTGATGATTGCATTCAAGTCACAGAGTTGAACATTCCCTTTGACAGAGCAGTTTGGAAACTCTCTTTGTGTAGAATCTGCAAGTGGAGATATGGACCGCTTTGAGGCCTATGGTAGTAAAGGAAATAGCTTCATATAAAAGCTAGACAGTAGCATTCTCAGAAACTTCTTTGTGATGCTTGCATTCAACTCACAGAGTTGAACTTTCCTTTCGAGAGAGAAGCTTTGAAACACTCTTTTTCCAGAATCTGCAAGTGGACATTTGGAGGGCTTTGAGGCCTGTGGTGGAAAAGGAATTAACTTCCCGTAAAAGCTAGATAGAAGCATTGTCAGAAACTTCTTTGTGATGATTGCATTCAACTCACAGAGTTGAAGGTTCCTTTTCAAACAGCAGTTTCCAATCACTCTTTCTGTGGAATCTGCAAGTGGATATTTCGACCTCTTTGAAGATTTCGTTGGAAACGGGAGAATCTTCACAGAAAAGCTAAACAGAAGCATTCTCAGAAACTTCTCTGTGATGTTTGTGTTCAACTCCCAGAGTTTCACGTTGCTTTTCATAGAGTAGTTCTGAAACATGCTTTTCGTAGTGTCTGCAAGTGGACATTTGGAGCGCTTTCAGGCCTGTGGTGGAAAACGAATTATGGTCACATAAAAACTGGAGAGAAGCCTTCTCAGAAACTTCTCTGTGATGATTGCATTCAACTCACAGAGTTGAACCCTCCTATGGATAGAGCAGTGTTGAAACTCTCTTTTTGTGGAATCTGCAAGTGGATATGTGGACCTCTCCGAAGATGTCTTTGGAAACGGGAATATCTTCACATAAAAACTAAACAGAAGCATTCTCAGAAACTTCTTGGTGATGTTTGCATTCAAATCCCAGAGTTGAACCTTCCTTTGATAGTTCAGGTTTGAAACACTCTTTCTGTAGGATCTGCAAGTGGCTATTTGGACCACTCTGTGGCCTTCGTTCGAAACGGGTATATCTTCGCATAAAATCTAGACAGAAGCATTCTCAGAAAATACTTTGTGATGATTGAGTTTAAATCACAGAGCTGACCATTCCTTTGGATGGAGCAGGTTTGAGACACACTTTTTGTAGAATCTACAAGTGGATATTTGGACCTCTCTGAGGATTTCGTTGGAAACGGGATAACTGCACCTAACTAAACGGAAGCGTTCTCAGAAACTGCTTTGTGATGATTGCATTCACCTCACAGAGTTGAACATTCCTATTGATAGAGCAGTTTGGAAACACTCCTGTTGTGGAATGTGCAAGTGGAGATTTGGAGCGCTTTGAGGCCTATGGTAGTAAAGGGAATAACTTCATAGAAAAACTAGACAGATGCATTCTCAGGAACTTTTTGGTGATGTTTGTATTCAACTCCCAGAGTTGAACTTTCCTTTGGAAAGAGCAGCTATGAAACACTCTTTTTCTAGAATCTGCAAGTGGACGTTTGGAGGGCTTTGTGGTTTGTGGTGGAAAAGGAAATATCTTCACCTAAATACTAGATAGAAGCATTCTCAGAAGCTTCTCTGTGATGACTGCATTCAACTCACGGAATTGAACACTCCTTTTGAGAGCGCAGTTTTGAAACTCTGTTTCTGTGGCATCTGCAAGGGGACATGTAGACCTCTTTGAAGATTTCGTTGGAAACGGAATCATCTTCACATAAAAACTATACAGAAGCAGTCTCAGAATCTTCTTTGTGATGTTTGCATTCAAATCCCAGAGTTGAACTTTCCTTTCAAAGTTCACGTTTGAAACACTCTTTTTGCAGGATCTACAAGTGGATATTTGGACCACTCTGTGTCCTTCGTTCGAAACGGGTATATCTTCACACGACATCTAGACAGAAGCTTTCTCAGAAAATTGTTTGGGATGATTGATTTGAACTCACAGAGCTGAGCATTCCTTGCGATGTAGCAGTTTAGAAACACACTTTCTGCAGAATCTGCAAGTGCATATTTGGACCTCTCTGAGGAATTCGTTGGAAACGGGATAATTTCAGCTGACTAAACAGAAGCATTCTCAGAACCTTCTTCGTGATGTCTGCATTCAACTCACAGTGTGGAACCTTTCTTTGATAGTTCAGGTTTGAAACACTCTTTTTGTAGAAACTGCAAGGGGATCATTGCACTTCTTTGAGGCCTACCGTAGTAAAGGAGATAACTTACTATAAAAAGAAGACAGAAGCATTCTCAGAACCTTCTTCGTGATGTTTGCATTCAACTCACACTGCTGAACCTTTCTTTGATAGTTCAGCTTTGAAACACTCTTTTTGTAGAAACTGCAAGTCGATATTTGGTCCTCTCTGAGGATTTCGTTGGAAACGGGATAAACCGCACAGAACTAAACAGAAGCATTCTCAGAACCTTCTTCGTGATGTTTGCATTCAACTCACAGTGTTGAACCTTTCTTTGATAGTTCAGGTTTGAAACGGTCTTTCTGCAGAAACTGCAAGTAGATATTTGGACCTCTCTGAGGATTTCGTTGGAAACGGGATAAACCGCACAGAACTAAAACAGAAGCATTCACAGAAAACTCTTGGTGACGACTGAGTTTAACTCACAGAGCTGAACATCCCTTTGGATGGAGCAGTTTCGAAACACACTATTTGTAGAATGTGCAAGTGGATATTGGGGCCTCTCTGAGGATTTCGTTGGAAACGGGATAAACCGCACAGAACTAAACAGAAGCATTCTCAGAAACTACTTTGTGATGATTGCATTCAAGTCACAGAGTTGAACATTCCCTTTGACAGAGCAGTTTGGAAACTCTCTTTGTGTAGAATCTGCAAGTGGAGATATGGACCGCTTTGAGGACTATGGTAGTAAAGGAAATAGCTTCATATAAAAGCTAGACAGTAGCATTCTCAGAAACTTCTTTGTGATGCTTGCATTCAACTCACAGAGTTGAACTTTCCTTTCGAGAGAGAAGCTTTGAAACACTCTTTTTCCAGAATCTGCAAGTGGAAATTTGGAGGGCTTTGAGGCCTGTGGTGGAAAAGGAATTATCTTCCCGTAAAAGCTAGATAGAAGCATTGTCAGAAACTTCTTTGTGATGATTGCATTCAACTCACAGAGTTGAAGGTTCCTTTTCAAACAGCAGTTTCCAATCACTCTTTCTGTGGAATCTGCAAGTGGATATTTGGGCCTCTCTGAGGATTTCGTTGGAAACGGGATAAAACGCACAGAACTAAAACAGAAGCATTCTCAGAAACTTCTCTGTGATGTTTGTGTTCAACTCCCAGAGTTTCACGTTGCTTTTCATAGAGTAGTTCTGAAACATGCTTTTCGTAGTGTCTGCAAGTGGACATTTGGAGCGCTTTCAGGCCTGTGGTGGAAAACGAATTATGGTCACATAAAAACTGGAGAGAAGCCTTCTCAGAAACTTCTCTGTGATGATTGCATTCAACTCACAGAGTTGAACCCTCCTATGGATAGAGCAGTGTTGAAACTCTCTTTTTGTGGAATCTGCAAGTGGATATGTGGACCTCTCCGAAGATGTCTTTGGAAACGGGAATATCTTCACATAAAAACTAAACAGAAGCATTCTCAGAAACTTCTTGGTGATGTTTGCATTCAAATCCCAGAGTTGAACCTTCCTTTGAGAGTTCAGGTTTGAAACACTCTTTTTGTAGGATCTGCAAGTGGATATTTGGACCACTCTGTGCCCTTCGTTCGAAACGGGTACATCTTCGCATAAAATCTAGACAGAAGCATTCTCAGAAAATACTTTGTGATGATTGCGTTGAACTCACAGAGCTGAACATTCCTTTGGATGGAGCAGGTTTGAGACACACTTTTTGTAGAATCTACAAGTGGATATTTGGACCTCTCTGAGGATTTCGTTGGAAACGGGATAACTGCACCTAACTAAACGGAAGCATTCTCAGAAACTGCTTTGTGATGATTGCATTCACCTCACAGAGTTGAACATTCCTATTGATAGAGCAGTTTGGAAACACTCTTGTTGTGGAATGTGCAAGTGGAGATTTGGAGCGCTTTGAGGCCTATGGTAGTAAAGGGAATAGCTTCATAGAAAAACTAGACAGATGCATTCTCAGGAACTTTTTGGTGATGTTTGTATTCAACTCCCAGAGTTGAACTTTCCTTTGGAAAGAGCAGCTATGAAACACTCTTTTTCTAGAATCTGCAAGTGGACGTTTGGAGGGCTTTGTGGTTTGTGGTGGAAAAGGAAATATCTTCACCTAAATACTAGATAGAAGCATTCTCAGAAGCTTCTCTGTGATGACTGCATTCAACTCACGGAGTTGAACACTCCTTTTGAGAGCGTAGTTTTGAAACTCTCTTTCTGTGGCATCTGCAAGGGGACATGTAGACCTCTTTGAAGATTTCGTTGGAAACGGAATCATCTTCACATAAAAACTATACAGAAGCAGTCTCAGAATCTTCTTTGTGATGTTTGCATTCAAATCCCAGAGTTGAACTTTCCTTTCAAAGTTCACGTTTGAAACACTCTTTTTGCAGGATCTACAAGTGGATATTTGGACCACTCTGTGTCCTTCGTTCGAAACGGGTATAACTTCACACGACATCTAGACAGAAGCTTTCTCAGAAAATTCTTTGGGATGATTGAGTGGAACTCACAGAGCTGAACATTCCTTGCGATGTAGCAGTTTAGAAACACACTTTCTGCAGAATCTGCAAGTGCATATTTGGACCTCTCCGAGGAATTCGTTGGAAACGGGATAATTTCAGCTGACTAAACAGAAGCATTCTCAGAACCTTCTTCGTGATGTCTGCATTCAACTCACAGTGTGGAACCTTTCTTTGATAGTTCAGGTTTGAAACACTCTTTTTGTAGAAACTGCAAGGGGATAATTGCACTTCTTTGAGGCCTACCGTAGTAAAGGAAATAACTTCCTATAGAAAGAAGACAGAAGAATTCTCAGAGCCCTCTTCGTGATGTTTGCATTCAACTCACAGTGCTGAACCTTTCTTTGATAGTGCAGCTTTGAAACACTCTTTTTGTAGAAACTGCAAGTGGATGTTTGGTCCTCTCTGAGGATTTCGTTGGAAACGGGATAAACCGCACAGAACTAAAACAGAAGCATTCTCAGAACCTTCTTCGTGATGTTTGCATTCAACTCACAGTGTTGAACCTTTCTTTGATAGTTCAGGTTTGAAACGGTCTTTCTGTAGAAACTGCAAGTAGATATTTGGACCTCTCTGAGGATTTCGTTGGAAACGGGATAACCCGCACAGAACTAAAACAGAAGCATTCACAGAAAAACTCTTGGTGACGACTGAGTTTAACTCACAGAGCTGAACATTCCTTTGGATGGAGCAGTTTCGAAACACACTATTTGTAGAATGTGCAAGTGGATATTTAGGCCTCTCTGAGGATTTCGTTGGAAACGGGATAAACCGCACAGAACTAAACAGAAGCATTCTCAGAAACTACTTTGTGATGATTGCATTCAAGTCACAGAGTTGAACATTCCCTTTGACAGAGCAGTTTGGAAACTCTCTTTGTGTAGAATCTGCAAGTGGAGATATGGACCGCTTTGAGGCCTATGGTAGTAAAGGAAATAGCTTCATATAAAAGCTAGACAGTAGCATTCTCAGAAACTTCTTTGTGATGCTTGCATTCAACTCACAGAGTTGAACTTTCCTTTCGAGAGAGAAGCTTTGAAACACTCTTTTTCCAGAATCTGCAAGTGGACATTTGGAGGGCTTTGAGGCCTGTGGTGGAAAAGGAATTATCTTCCCGTAAAAGCTAGATAGAAGCATTGTCAGAAACTTCTTTGTGATGATTGCATTCAACTCACAGAGTTGAAGGTTCCTTTTCAAACAGCAGTTTCCAATCACTCTTTCTGTGGAATCTGCAAGTGGATATTTGGGCCTCTCTGAGGATTTCGTTGGAAACGGGATAAAACGCACAGAACTAAAACAGAAGCATTCTCAGAAACTTCTCTGTGATGTTTGTGTTCAACTCCCAGAGTTTCACGTTGCTTTTCATAGAGTAGTTCTGAAACATGCTTTTCGTAGTGTCTGCAAGTGGACATTTGGAGCGCTTTCAGGCCTGTGGTGGAAAACGAATTATGGTCACATAAAAACTGGAGAGAAGCCTTCTCAGAAACTTCTCTGTGATGATTGCATTCAACTCACAGAGTTGAACCCTCCTATGGATAGAGCAGTGTTGAAACTCTCTTTTTGTGGAATCTGCAAGTGGATATGTGGACCTCTCCGAAGATGTCTTTGGAAACGGGAATATCTTCACATAAAAACTAAACAGAAGCATTCTCAGAAACTTCTTGGTGATGTTTGCATTCAAATCCCAGAGTTGAACCTTCCTTTGATAGTTCAGGTTTGAAACACTCTTTCTGTAGGATCTGCAAGTGGCTATTTGGACCACTCTGTGGCCTTCGTTCGAAACGGGTATATCTTCGCATAAAATCTAGACAGAAGCATTCTCAGAAAATACTTTGTGATGATTGAGTTTAACTCACAGAGCTGAACATTCCTTTGGATGGAGCAGGTTTGAGACACACTTTTTGTAGAATCTACAAGTGGATATTTGGACCTCTCTGAGGATTTCGTTGGAAACGGGATAACTGCACCTAACTAAACGGAAGCATTCTCAGAAACTGCTTTGTGATGATTGCATTCACCTCACAGAGTTGAACATTCCTATTGATAGAGCAGTTTGGAAACACTCTTGTTGTGGAATGTGCAAGTGGAGATTTGGAGCGCTTTGAGGCCTATGGTAGTAAAGGGAATAGCTTCATAGAAAAACTAGACAGATGCATTCTCAGGAACATTTTGGTTATGTTTGTATTCAACTCCCAGAGTTGAACTTTCCTTTGGAAAGAGCAGCTATGAAACACTCTTTTTCTAGAATCTGCAAGTGGACGTTTGGAGGGCTTTGTGGTTTGTGGTGGAAAAGGAATTATCTTCACCTAAATACTAGATAGAAGCATTCTCAGAAGCTTCTCTGTGATGACTGCATTCAACTCACGGAGTTGAACACTCCTTTTGAGAGCGCAGTTTTGAAACTCTCTTTCTGTGGCATCTGCAAGGGGACATGTAGACCTCTTTGAAGATTTCGTTGGAAACGGAATCATCTTCACATAAAAACTATACAGAAGCAGTCTCAGAATCTTCTTTGTGATGTTTGCATTCAAATCCCCGAGTTGAACTTTCCTTTCAAAGTTCACGTTTGAAACACTCTTTTTGCAGGATCTACAAGTGGATATTTGGACCACTCTGTGTCCTTCGTTCGAAACGGGTATATCTTCACATGACATCTAGACAGAAGCTTTCTCAGAAAATTCTTTGGGATGATTGAGTGGAACTCACAGAGCTGAACATTCCTTGCGATGTAGCAGTTTAGAAACACACTTTCTGCAGAATCTGCAAGTGCATATTTGGACCTCTCTGAGGAATTCGTTGGAAACGGGATAATTTCAGCTGACTAAACAGAAGCATTCTCAGAACCTTCTTCGTGATGTCTGCATTCAACTCACAGTGTGGAACCTTTCCTTGATAGTTCAGGTTTGAAACACTCTTTTTGTAGAAACTGCAAGGGGATAATTGCACTCTTTGAGGAGTACCGTAGTAAAGGAAATAACTTCCTCTAAAAAGAAGACAGAAGCATTCTCAGAACCCTCTTCGTGATGTTTGCATTCAACTCACAGTGCTGAACCTTTCTTTGATAGTTCAGCTTTGAAACACTCTTTTTGTAGAAACTGCAAATGGATATTTGGTCCTCTCTGAGGATTTCGTTGGAAAAGGGATAAAACGCACAGAACTAAACAGAAGCATTCTCAGAACCTTCTTCGTGATGTTTGCATTCAACTCACAGTGTTGAACCTTTCTTTGATAGTTCAGGTTTGAAACGGTCTTTCTGTAGAAACTGCAAGTAGATATTTGGACCTCTCTGAGGATTTCGTTGGAAACGGGATAAACCGCACAGAACTAAAACAGAAGCATTCACAGAAAACTCTTGGTGACGACTGAGTTTAACTCACAGAGCTGAACATTCCTTTGGATGGAGCAGTTTCGAAACACACTATTTGTAGAATGTGCAAGTGGATATGTGGGCCTCTCTGAGGATTTCGTTGGAAACGGGATAAACCGCACAGAACTAAACAGAAGCATTCTCAGAAACTACTTTGTGATGATTGCATTCAAGTCACAGAGTTGAACATTCCCTTTGACAGAGCAGTTTGGAAACTCTCTTTGTGTAGAATCTGCAAGTGGAGATATGGACCGCTTTGAGGCCTATGGTAGTAAAGGAAATAGCTTCATATAAAAGCTAGACAGTAGCATTCTCAGAAACTTCTTTGTGATGCTTGCATTCAACTCACAGAGTTGAACTTTCCTTTCGAGAGAGAAGCTTTGAAACACTCTTTTTCCAGAATCTGCAAGTGGACCTTTGGAGGGCTTTGATGTCTGTGGTGGAAAAGGAATTATCTTCCCGTAAAAGCTAGATAGAAGCATTGTCAGAAACTTCTTTGTGATGATTGCATTCAACTCACAGAGTTGAAGGTTCCTTTTCAAACAGCAGTTTCCAATCACTCTTTCTGTGGAATCTGCAAGTGGATATTTGGGCCTCTCTGAGGATTTCGTTGGAAACGGGATAAAACGCACAGAACTAAAACAGAAGCATTCTCAGAAACTTCTCTGTGATGTTTGTGTTCAACTCCCAGAGTTTCACGTTGCTTTTCATAGAGTAGTTCTGAAACATGCTTTTCGTAGTGTCTGCAAGTGGACATTTGGAGCGCTTTCAGGCCTGTGGTGGAAAACGAATTATGGTCACATAAAAACTGGAGAGAAGCCTTCTCAGAAACTTCTCTGTGATGATTGCATTCAACTCACAGAGTTGAACCCTCCTATGGATAGAGCAGTGTTGAAACTCTCTTTTTGTGGAATCTGCAAGTGGATATGTGGACCTCTCCGAAGATGTCTTTGGAAACGGGAATATCTTCACATAAAAACTAAACAGAAGCATTCTCAGAAACTTCTTGGTGATGTTTGCATTCAAATCCCAGAGTTGAACCTTCCTTTGATAGTTCAGGTTTGAAACACTCTTTTTGTAGGATCTGCAAGTGGATATTTGGACCACTCTGTGGCCTTCGTTCGAAACGGGTATATCTTCGCATAAAATCTAGACAGAAGCATTCTCAGAAAATACTTTGTGATGATTGAGTTTAAATCACAGAGCTGACCATTCCTTTGGATGGAGCAGGTTTGAGACACACTTTTTGTAGAATCTACAAGTGGATATTTGGACCTCTCTGAGGATTTCGTTGGAAACGGGATAACTGCACCTAACTAAACGGAAGCATTCTCAGAAACTGCTTTGTGATGATTGCATTCACCTCACAGAGTTGAACATTCCTATTGATAGAGCAGTTTGGAAACACTCTTGCTGTGGAATGTGCAAGTGGAGATTTGGAGCGCTTTGAGGCCTATGGTAGTAAAGGAAATAGCTTCATAGAAAAACTAGACAGATGCATTCTCAGGAACTTTTTGGTGATGTTTGTATTCAACTCCCAGCAGTTGAACTTTCCTTTGGAAAGAGCAGCTATGAAACACTCTTTTTCTAGAATCTGGAAGTGGACGTTTGGAGGGCTTTGTGGTTTGTGGTGGAAAAGGAAATATCTTCACCTAAATACTAGATAGAAGCATTCTCAGAAGCTTCTCTGTGATGACTGCATTCAACTCACGGAGTTGAACACTCCTTTTGAGAGCGCAGTTTTGAAACTCTCTTTCTGTGGCATCTGCAAGGGGACATGTAGACCTCTTTGAAGATTTCGTTGGAAACGGAATCATCTTCACATAAAAACTATACAGAAGCAGTCTCAGAATCTTCTTTGTGATGTTTGCATTCAAATCCCAGAGTTGAACTTTCCTTTCAAAGTTCACGTTTGAAACACTCTTTTTGCAGGATCTACAAGTGGATATTTGGACCACTCTGTGTCCTTCGTTCGAAACGGGTACATCTTCACATGACATCTAGACAGAAGCTTTCTCAGAAAATTCTTTGGGTTGATTGAGTGGAACTCACAGAGCTGAACATTCCTTGCGATGTAGCAGTTTAGAAACACACTTTCTGCAGAATCTGCAAGTGCATATTTGGACCTCTCTGAGGAATTCGTTGGAAACGGGATAATTTCAGCTGACTAAACAGAAGCATTCTCAGAACCTTCTTCGTGATGTCTGCATTCAACTCACAGTGTGGAACCTTTCTTTGATAGTTCAGGTTTGAAACACTCTTTTTGTAGAAACTGCAAGGGGATAATTGCACTTCTTTGAGGCCTACCGTAGTAAAGGAAATAACTTCCTATAGAAAGAAGACAGAAGCATTCTCAGAACCCTCTTCGTGATGTTTGCATTCAACTCACAGTGCTGAACCTTTCTTTGATAGTTCAGCTTTGAAACACTCTTCTTGTAGAAACTGCAAGTGGATATTTGGTCCTCTCTGAGGATTTCGTTGGAAACGGGATAAACCGCACAGAACTAAACAGAAGCATTCTCAGAACCTTCTTCGTGATGTTTGCATTCAACTCACAGTGTTGAACCTTTCTTTGATAGTTCAGGTTTCAAACGGTCTTTCTGTAGAAACTGCAAGTAGATATTTGGACCTCTCTGAGGATTTCGTTGGAAACGGGATAACTGCACCTAACTAAACGGAAGCATTCACAGAAAACTCTTGGTGACGACTGAGTTTAACTCACAGAGCTGAACATTCCTTTGGATGGAGCAGTTTCGAGACACACTATTTGTAGAATGTGCAAGTGGATATTTGGGCCTCTCTGAGGATTTCGTTGGAAACGGGATAAACCGCACAGAACTAAACAGAAGCATTCTCAGAAACTGCTTTGTGGTGATTGCATTCAAGTCACAGAGTTGAACATTCCCTTTGACAGAGCAGTTTGGAAACTCTCTTTGTGTAGAATCTGCAAGTGGAGATATGGACCGCTTTGAGGCCTATGGTAGTAAAGGAAATAGCTTCATATAAAAGCTAGACAGTAGCATTCTCAGAAACTTCTTTGTGATGCTTGCATTCAACTCACAGAGTTGAACTTTCCTTTCGAGAGAGAAGCTTTGAAACACTCTTTTTCCAGAATCTGCAAGTGGACATTTGGAGGGCTTTGAGGCCTGTGGTGGAAAAGGAATTATCTTCCCGTAAAAGCTAGATAGAAGCATTGTCAGAAACTTCTTTGTGATGATTGCATTCAACTCACAGAGATGAAGGTTCCTTTACAAACAGCAGTTTCCAAACACTCTTTCTGTGGAATCTGCAAGTGGATATTTGGACCTCTTTGAAGATTTCGTTGGAAACGGGAGAATCTTCACAGAAAAGCTAAACAGAAGCATTCTCAGAAACTTCTCTGTGATGTTTGTGTTCAACTCCCAGAGTTTCACATTGCTTTTCATAGAGTAGTTCTGAAACATGCTTTTCGTAGTGTCTGCAAGTGGACATTTGGAGCGCTTTCAGGCCTGTGGTGGAAAACGAATTATGGTCACATAAAAACTGGAGAGAAGCCTTCTCAGAAACTTCTCTGTGATGATTGCATTCAACTCACAGAGTTGAACCCTCCTATGGATAGAGCAGTGTTGAAACTCTCTTTTTGTGGAATCTGCAAGTGGATATGTGGACCTCTCCGAAGATGTCTTTGGAAACGGGAATATCTTCACATAAAAACTAAACAGAAGCATTCTCAGAAACTTCTTGGTGATGTTTGCATTCAAATCCCAGAGTTGAACCTTCCTTTGATAGTTCAGGTTTGAAACACTCTTTCTGTAGGATCTGCAAGTGGCTATTTGGACCACTCTGTGGCCTTCGTTCGAAACGGGTATATCTTCGCATAAAATCTAGACAGAAGCATTCTCAGAAAATACTTTGTGATGATTGAGTTTAAATCACAGAGCTGACCATTCCTTTGGATGGAGCAGGTTTGAGACACACTTTTTGTAGAATCTACAAGTGGATATTTGGACCTCTCTGAGGATTTCGTTGGAAACGGGATAACTGCACCTAACTAAACGGAAGCATTCTCAGAAACTGCTTTGTGATGATTGCATTCACCTCACAGAGTTGAACATTCCTATTGATAGAGCAGTTTGGAAACACTCTTGTTGTGGAATGTGCAAGTGGAGATTTGGAGCGCTTTGAGGCCTATGGTAGTAAAGGGAATAGCTTCATAGAAAAACTAGACAGATGCATTCTCAGGAACCTTTTGGTGATGTTTGTATTCAACTCCCAGAGTTGAACTTTCCTTTGGAAAGAGCAGCTATGAAACACTCTTTTTCTAGAATCTGCAAGTGGACGTTTGGAGGGCTTTGTGGTTTGTGGTGGAAAAGGAAATATCTTCACCTAAATACTAGATAGAAGCATTCTCAGAAGCTTCTCTGTGATGACTGCATTCAACTCACGGAGTTGAACACTCCTTTTGAGAGCGCAGTTTTGAAACTCTCTTTCTGTGGCATCTGCAAGGGGACATGTAGACCTCTTTGAAGATTTCGTTGGAAACGGAATTCATCTTCACATAAAAACTATACAGAAGCAGTCTCAGAATCTTCTTTGTGATGTTTGCATTCAAATCCCAGAGTTGAACTTTCCTTTCAAAGTTCACGTTTGAAACACTCTTTTTGCAGGATCTACAAGTGGATATTTGGACCACTCTGTGTCCTTCGTTCGAAACGGGTATATCTTCACATGACATCTAGACAGAAGCTTTCTCAGAAAATTCTTTGGGATGATTGAGTGGAACTCACAGAGCTGAACATTCCTTGCGATGTAGCAGTTTAGAAACACACTTTCTGCAGAATCTGCAAGTGCATATTTGGACCTCTCTGAGGAATTCGTTGGAAACGGGATAATTTCAGCTGACTAAACAGAAGCATTCTCAGAACCTTCTTCGTGATGTCTGCATTCAACTCACAGTGTGGAACCTTTCTTTGATAGTTCAGGTTTGAAACACTCTTTTTGTAGAAACTGCAAGGGGATAATTGCACTTCTTTGAGGCCTACCGTAGTAAAGGAAATAACTTCCTATAAAAAGAAGACAGAAGAATTCTCAGAGCCCTCTTCGTGATGTTTGCATTCAACTCACAGTGCTGAACCTTTCTTTGATAGTGCAGCTTTGAAACACTCTTTTTGTAGAAACTGCAAGTGGATGTTTGGTCCTCTCTGAGGATTTCGTTGGAAACGGGATAAACCGCACAGAACTAAAACAGAAGCATTCTCTGAACCTTCTTCGTGATGTTTGCATTCAACTCACAGTGTTGAACCTTTCTTTGATAGTTCAGGTTGGAAACGGTCTTTCTGTAGAAACTGCAAGTAGATATTTGGACCTCTCTGAGGATTTCGTTGGAAACGGGATAAACCGCACAGAACTAAAACAGAAGCATTCACAGAAAACTCTTGGTGACGACTGAGTTTAACTCACAGAGCTGAACATTCCTTTGGATGGAGCAGTTTCGAAACACACTATTTGTAGAATGTGCAAGTGGATATTTAGGCCTCTCTGAGGATTTCGTTGGAAACGGGATAAACCGCACAGAACTAAACAGAAGCATTCTCAGAAACTACTTTGTGATGATTGCATTCAAGTCACAGAGTTGAACATTCCCTTTGACAGAGCAGTTTGGAAACTCTCTTTGTGTAGAATCTGCAAGTGGAGATATGGACCGCTTTGAGGCCTATGGTAGTAAAGGAAATAGCTTCATATAAAACCTAGACAGTAGCATTCTCAGAAACTTCTTTGTGATGCTTGCATTCAACTCACAGAGTTGAACTTTCCTTTCGAGAGAGAAGCTTTGAAACACTCTTTTTCCAGAATGTGCAAGTGGACATTTGGGGAGCTTTGAGGCCTGTGGTGGAAAAGGAATTATCTTCCCGTAAAAGCTAGATAGAAGCATTGTCAGAAACTTCTTTGTGATGATTGCATTCAACTCACAGAGTTGAAGGTTCCTTTTCAAACAGCAGTTTCCAATCACTCTTTCTGTGGAATCTGCAAGTGGATATTTGGGCCTCTCTGAGGATTTCGTTGGAAACGGGATAAAACGCACAGAACTAAAACAGAAGCATTCTCAGAAACTTCTCTGTGATGTTTGTGTTCAACTCCCAGAGTTTCACGTTGCTTTTCATAGAGTAGTTCTGAAACATGCTTTTCGTAGTGTCTGCAAGTGGACATTTGGAGCGCTTTCAGGCCTGTGGTGGAAAACGAATTATGGTCACATAAAAACTGGAGAGAAGCCTTCTCAGAAACTTCTCTGTGATGATTGCATTCAACTCACAGATTTGAACCCTCCTATGGATAGAGCATTGTTGAAACTCTCTTTTTGTGGAATCTGCAAGTGGATATGTGGACCTCTCCGAAGATGTCTTTGGAAACGGGAATATCTTCACATAAAAACTAAACAGAAGCATTCTCAGAAACTTCTTGGTGATGTTTGCATTCAAATCCCAGAGTTGAACCTTCCTTTGATAGTTCAGGTTTGAAACACTCTTTTTGTAGGATCTGCAAGTGGCTATTTGGACCACTCTGTGGCCTTCGTTCGAAACGGGTATATCTTCGCATAAAATCTAGACAGAAGCATTCTCAGAAAATACTTTGTGATGATTGAGTTTAAATCACAGAGCTGACCATTCCTTTGGATGGAGCAGGTTTGAGACACACTTTTTGTAGAATCTACAAGTGGATATTTGGACCTCTCTGAGGATTTCGTTGGAAACGGGATAACTGCACCTAACTAAACGGAAGCATTCTCAGAAACTGCTTTGTGATGATTGCATTCACCTCACAGAGTTGAACATTCCTATTGATAGAGCAGTTTGGAAACACTCTTGTTGTGGAATGTGCAAGTGGAGATTTGGAGCGCTTTGAGGCCTATGGTAGTAAAGGGAATAGCTTCATAGAAAAACTAGACAGATGCATTCTCAGGAACTTTTTGGTGATGTTTGTATTCAACTCCCAGAGTTGAACTTTCCTTTGGAAAGAGCAGCTATGAAACACTCTTTTTCTAGAATCTGCAAGTGGACGTTTGGAGGGCTTTGTGGTTTGTGGTGGAAAAGGAAATATCTTCACCTAAATACTAGATAGAAGCATCCTCAGAAGCTTCTCTGTGATGACTGCATTCAACTCACGGAGTTGAACACTCCTTTTGAGAGCGCAGTTTTGAAACTCTCTTTCTGTGGCATCTGCAAGGGGACATGTAGACCTCTTTGAAGATTTCGTTGGAAACGGAATCATCTTCACATAAAAACTACACAGAAGCAGTCTCAGAATCTTCTTTGTGATGTTTGCATTCAAATCCCAGAGTTGAACTTTCCTTTCAAAGTTCACGTTTGAAACACTCTTTTTGCAGGATCTACAAGTGGATATTTGGACCACTCTGTGTCCTTCGTTCGAAACGGGTATATCTTCACACGACATCTAGACAGAAGCTTTCTCAGAAAACTCTTTGGGATGATTGAGTTGAACTCACAGAGCTGAACATTCCTTGCGATGTAGCAGTTTAGAAACACACTTTCTGCAGAATCTGCAAGTGCATATTTGGACCTCTCTGAGGAATTCGTTGGAAACGGGATAATTTCAGCTGACTAAACAGAAGCATTCTCAGAACCTTCTTCGTGATGTCTGCATTCAACTCACAGTGTGGAACCTTTCTTTGATAGTTCAGGTTTGAAACACTCTTTTTGTAGAAACTGCAAGGGGATAATTGCACTCTTTGAGGAGTACCGTAGTAAAGGAAATAACTTCCTATAAAAAGAAGACAGAAGAATTCTCAGAGCCCTCTTCGTGATGTTTGCATTCAACTCACAGTGCTGAACCTTTCTTTGATAGTGCAGCTTTGAAACACTCTTTTTGTAGAAACTGCAAGTGGATGTTTGGTCCTCTCTGAGGATTTCGTTGGAAACGGGATAAACCGCACAGAACTAAAACAGAAGCATTCTCAGAACCTTCTTCGTGATGTTTGCATTCAACTCACAGTGTTGAACCTTTCTTTGATAGTTCAGGTTTGAAACGGTCTTTCTGTAGAAACTGCAAGTAGATATTTGGACCTCTCTGAGGATTTCGTTGGAAACGGGATAACCCGCACAGAACTAAAACAGAAGCATTCACAGAAAACTCTTGGTGACGACTGAGTTTAACTCACAGAGCTGAACATTCCTTTGGATGGAGCAGTTTCGAAACACACTATTTCTAGAAGGTGCAAGTGGATATGTGGGCCTCTCTGAGGATTTCGTTGGAAACGGGATAAACCGCACAGAACTAAACAGAAGCATTCTGAGAAACTACTTTGTGATGATTGCATTCAAGTCACAGAGCTGAACATTCCCTTTGACAGAGCAGTTTGGAAACTCTCTTTGTGTAGAATCTGCAAGTGGAGATATGGAATGCTTTGAGGACTATGGTAGTAAAGGAAATAGCTTCATATAAAAGCTATACAGTAGCATTCTCAGAAACTTCTTTGTGATGCTTGCATTCAACTCACAGAGTTGAACTTTCCTTTCGAGAGAGAAGCTTTGAAACACTCTTTTTCCAGAATCTGCAAGTGGACATTTGGAGGGCTTTGAGGCCTGTGGTGGAAAAGGAATTATCTTCCCGTAAAAGCTAGATAGAAGCATTGTCAGAAACTTCTTTGTGATGATTGCATTCAAGTCACAGAGTTGAAGGTT